>NC_000006.12:156434426-156585941 GCF_000001405.40 Homo sapiens | reverse complement strand
CAATTGCTAGAGCCTGCTCTCATCTTGTGGAGTGTACTTTTGCTTTTGCTCCTTCCCTGCTTTCTGCTCTAATAAATCCACTTCTTCACCACTCGTTTGTGTGTCGTTCAATTCTTTGTTGAACACACCAAGAACCTGGACACCTCACGACTGGAACCCTTAATTAGGTAACATAATCAGGAAGGCAGTGGTCTAGCCTCCCTAAAATGACCATATCAGCTTGTGAGCCTATCATAGTTTTTAGAAAAACAATATCAATAACATCAATCATAAAGTAAACGTGGGCTGGCCCATGATCCAATTGAATTTACCTGCATTATTGGTCATTACTCTGTTACTATTCTTGTTACCAAAAAAAAAACTTTCTTGGTTTCAGCATTCAGGAACAAACTCTAAAATATTCATATAGTTTTTGAATTCCAAAAATATTTCAAATCTAGAAAGGCTGATGCACTTTAATAATTTTTTTCTCAAAATTGTGTGTGTATGTGTCTTTTTTCATCTATGTTGTGTGTATCAGTAGTTTCTTCTCTTCATACATGAATATTATTTTATTTTATGAATGTACCACAATCTGACTTATCAATGATTGCTAAACATTTGACTTGTTTCCAGTTTGAGCTACGATGAACACAGCTGCTATAAACACTTAACTATAGATGTTTGTGTGGCCATAAGTTTTCATTTCTGTTGGGTAAAAACCTAGGAGAATTGCTGGGCCACGTGGTAAATGTATATCTACCTTTAAGAAACTGCAGAACAGTTCTGCAAATTGGTGGTACCATTTTGTCTTCCCCCAGGCAGTGTGTGAGAGTTCTAGTTGCTGTTTGAAATGGTTTCTGATGGAGGCATAAAGAGGAATAGATGAGTTGTTTTTTTTAATGTTTAATTTTTGTGGGAACATACTGGGGGTATATATTTATTGAGCATATGAGATTTTTGATACAGGTGTATAATGTGTCATCACATCAGGATAAATGAGGTATTGATCACCTCAAGCATTTATCCTTTGTTTTACAAACAATCCAATTTATGCCATCTTAGTTATTTTAAAATCTACAATTATTATTGACTCTAGTTATCCTGTTATGCTATCTACTAAGTTATTCTAACTACTTTTTTGTACCCATTAACCATCCTCCCTTCCCCTCACCCCCTTATTACCCTTCCCAGCCTCTGGTAACCATCTTTCTACTCTCTATCTTCATGAATTCAACTGTTTTTTTAGCTCCCACAAATAAGTGAGAACACGAGAAGTTTGTCTTTCTGTGCCTGTTTTATTTCACATAACATAATGATCTCTAGTTCCACCATGTTGCAAAAGACAGAATCTCATTCTTTTCTATGGCTGAATAGTACTCCATTGTGTATATGTACTATATTTTCTTCATCCATTAATTTGTTGATGGACACTTGGGTTGCTTCCAGATCTTGGCTATTGTGAACAGTGCTGCAATAAACATGGGAGTGCAGGTACCTCTTTGATAAACTGATTTCCTTTCTTTTGGGTATATATCCAGCAGTGGGATTGCTGGATCATATGATAGCTCTACTTTTAGTTTTTTGAGGAACCTCCAAACAGTTCTCCATAGTGACTCTACTAATTTACATTCCCACCAACAGTGTAGGAGGGTTCCCTTTTCTCCACATCTCACCAGCATTTGTTATTGCCTGTCTTCTGGATAAAAGCCATTTTAACAACGGTAAGATGACATCTCATTGTAGTTGTGATTTGCATTTCTCTGATGATCAGTGACGTTGAGCACCTTTTCACGTGCCCGTTTGCCATTTGTATGTCTTCTTTTGGGAGATGTCTATTCAGATCTTTTGCCAATTTTTAAATTGGATGACTAGATATTTTCCTATAGAGTTGTTTGAGCTCCTTGTATATTCTGGTTATTAATCCCTGGTCAGATGGATAATTTGCAAACATTTTCTCCCATTGTGTGGGTTGTCTCTTCACTTTGTTCATTGTTTCCTTTGCTGTGGAGAAGCTTTTTAACTTGATGTGATCCCATTTGGATGAGTTGTTTTTTCATAGGAAAATGTGTTCACCTCTAGGGATGAGTTGTTGGCGGTGATCAGGGCTGGTGCTCAGCATTCTCTGAGACTGTCTCTGAATGGGGTAGCCCCCTGGGAGTTGTACCTTCCTTACCACTGCAGAGTCCGCTTACAGGTGTTTCTCCGTCCCTGCACTGAGAGCTGCTTGAGGATGGGGGCCAGGTCTTAGTCATCTCCGCAGTCTCAACTCCCAGCAGAGTCTGGGACAGCATAGGTTTCAACATGTGTTGTTGAATTGAACAGCAAATCTCTCCAGTGGCCAGGATGTTGTGAGGGGAGGGAAAGCTCAGGTGGGTGTGGCCTACTCCTTTACGTCTCATTTTCTGTGGCGGTGAAGGCACCAATGGTCATGAATTTCATCTAAAAACACAATAAATTGAAGCACAGTGAAGGGTATCAAGGCGGTGGGAAGGTCCTGCTACAGACAGAGTATGAAAACTGTTGAAAAACATAAAAATCAACATATTATGATTTTAAAAATGAAGAGTTATGAGGGGCTTGTTTGTAATACCATACCTGAATTGCCTCGCCTCACACGTGGGCCTGGATGTGGGTGGGAGGGGAAGGCAGTGTTGGAATTTTTAGCTGCTGCCTCATTTTCATTTGGGCTGAAATGCTCTGAACCCCATGAGGCATGCGTGGTGAGAGGTCCTGATTCACGGTGCTCCTTTCTGCAACATCAGTGATCCTGCTTCTAAACCATTCCTTGTCCCCGTCTTTCTGTTTGTTGTTGTGGTTTAGCTGGGGAAAGTAAAATGTCTAATTGAAGAAAGTGGGCAGGTCACTCCTTCTTAACCAAGTCATCCAGCTGCTGGACTCTCCTAGAGATGTTTCCATTTAGCAGGGAAAACTCTATTTTTCCTTTCTCCTTCCTCACCTCCCCCACCTCCATTTTTATCCCCTAGAGCAAATTCAGGGCCTCTCTGAGTTGGTACCACCTTACATTAATTGGCACTAATGCAAGTATTCACAGCTGTGCGTGGGATGCTTCTGAGTGCAAAATGGATCTGTCTGTGCCTGGGAACGGTTCTTTCACTTCAGGTGTGTAATTTACTCTTCTGTGAGATGCGTTCCCCGGGCTCCCCTGCTGCACCAAGCAGCACCTCAGCTGCCACTACAGAAGAGCTCAGCAACAGACGTTTGCTTATGGTCATAAATCTTAGCAGACACACCTGTACATGACCACAACATGCAGTTATAGAAACAAAGAACTTCCCATCAAGCTGAAACTGATCCAGGAGGTGTGGGTGGCTTGGCAGCAAAGGGGGGCCATTACCAGGAGAGCCCAGGTGACCGTGGAGGAGCTCAGGGAGCACCCTAGAGGCGGCTGGGGCTTGGGCACAATGAGCTTTGGTTAAGAGAGACTGGGATTCAGAATTGCTGTCTGCTCTCATAAGCCCTGTGATTGTAGGCAACTTACCTTAAATTTCTGAGCTATGGATTTCTCAAATGACACTCTTGGAACTTAGATCTATCATCTTAAAATTTATTTTCTATTTATCTCACTTGTTTTATGTTCCTTTTCTTCTCCTTGCTTGCCCATTTTTTGGATTATTTATGTATTTAAAAATTATTCATGGCTGAGCGCAGTGGCCTATGCCTGTAATCCCAGCACTTCGGGAGGCCAAGGTGAGAGGATCGCTTGAGCCCAGGAGTTCGAGACCAGCCTGGATAATGCAGTGATACCCATCTCTATTAAAAAAAAAAAAAAAGCAGCTGGGTGTGGTGGCACATACCTGTAGTCCAGCAACTCTGGAGGTTGAAGTGGGAAGATCGCTTGAGGCCAGGAGTTTGAGGCTGCAGTGGGCTATGATCATGCAACTGCACTCCAGCCTGGGTGACAGAGAAAACAAGAAACGAAAATATTATTCCATGTCCCATCTCTATCAGCTGTTAAGTTATACCTTCCTTTACTGGTTATCCAAGGACCAAGAGATGACAATAGCACTACCTTATTAAAATTGAATATAAAGTTGCACATCTGTCTATTCCTGGACAATGCACAGACCCCAAAAAGTTTGACTCTATTTACCTTCAATCCTGCCTTTTGTGCAGGATTTAATTCTAAATATATATAAGACCTCACAAAATATCAGTCATTATTGACAACCAGTATTCTTTTAGATTTACCCGTGTAGCCATCCTTTCTCTTGTTCTTCGTTTCTTTCTGTGTGTGGTAGACAGAACAATGGCCCCCACAAAGACGTCTCATTCTAATCTCTGGAAACTGTGAATATGTTAGGGGGAATAAAGGTTCCAGGAGGAACTAAGGCTGCTCATCAGTTCGAGGGATTATCCTGGGCCGGCCCAATTAATCATCACTAGGAGACTTAACTGTGTAAGAGGGAGGCAGGAGAGGAGAAGGAGAGATGGCAGTGTGAGAAGGCCTCAGCCCGACATTGCTGGCTTTAAGGATGGCGGACAGGACCTTGATCCAAGGAACACAGGAGACCTCTAGACCCAGCAAAGTCAAGAAACAGACTATCCCCTGGAGTCTCCAGAAGGGAATGCAGCACCGTGGACACAGATTTTAAAGCTCAGTGAGAACCATGTCAGACTTCCAATCTCCAGAGCCGTAAGATAATACACGCACATTGTTTTAAATTATGATGTTTGTGGCCATTTATTACAGCGGCAAGTGGGAACTAATACTCTATATCTCTGTTTTCATGCAGAATCATTTTGCTTCTATCCGAAGAACTTGTTTTAGTCATTTCCTTTAAGAAAATGTGGGGCTGTGGTAATGAATTTTGTCAGATTCTGTTTGAAAATGTCTTTCTCATGCTTTCATTTCTTTGGTTTGCAATTTTATTGATTTCTGCTCTTAATTATTTCCTTTCTTCTGCTTATGTTGGGTTGAATTTGCTTTTCTTCTCTAGTTTCACAAAATGAAAACTTAGAGTATTGATTGAAAACCTTTCTTCTTCCCTCATATAAGCATTTAATGCTACAAACTTCTCTCTAAACAATGCTTTAGTTGCTTCCAACAAATTTTGATATACTGTAATTTTGTTTTCATTCAGTTCAAAATATTTTCTTATTTCCTTTAACACTTCCTCTTTGACTCATGGGTAATGTAGAAATGTGTTGTTTATTTCCAAATATTTTGGAGTTTAACAGAAATCTTTCTGTTACTGATTTCTAGTTTAATTCCATTATGGTCTGAGAATATACTTTGTATGATTCCTATTCTTTTAAATTTGTTAAGGTTTGTTTTATGGTCTGAATATGGTCTCTCTTAAGGAATGTACACTTGTAAACAACGTGTATTCTGCTTTAGGTCAATTTGATCAATAGCGTTGATCAGCCCTATATTCTTACTGATTTTCTGTTTACTTGTTCTGTTGATTCCTGAGAGAGGAATATTGAAGTCTCCAACTATAATTGTAGATTGGTCTGTTTCTTCTTTCAGTTTCATTGTGTTTTGTTGTAATTCATGTAATTTGAAGCTCTGTTGTTAGGTCAATTTAGGGCAGTTTTGTCATCTTGGACTATGGACTTATTTATCATTAAATAAAGTTCTTCTTTATTCTTAATAATATTCCTTGTTCTGAAGTCTACTTTGATATTGATATAGCTACTCCAACTCTCTTTTCATTAGTGTTTGTCTATCTTTTTTTTTTTCATTTTCTAAGAAACTATTTTTGTATTTTTGCTTAAAGGAAGTTTGTTGTAGATATAATGTGGACAGGTCTTGCTTTTTTATCCAATTTGTCAATTTTGTCTTTTAACTGGTGTGGTTGAACTGTTCACATTTAATGCGATCACTGATATATCTGTATTAAAATCTATCTTGTTAGCCATTTTCTATTCGTTCCATCTGTCTTTGTTTTTATACTTATCACTTAAGAGATGTCACTCCATTATCTTTTAGCTTGTGTGAATTCTGATGTGAAGGCTGTTTAATTCTTACTTTGTTTTCCTATATATAATGTGTCTTATTTCTCTGGCTGCCTTTGAGGTTTTCTCATTGTCTTTTGTTTTCAGCAGTTTAAATATATGTGAAGGGTGTGTATGTATATATATGTGTGTGTGTGTGTCCTCATTTTTCTTTTTGTTTTCAGTTTGGGTAATTCCTATGAACCAGCATCACTGCTTCACTCCTTAGCTGGGTCAAATCTACTGATGAGGTCATCAAAGACTTTCTTCATCTCTGCTACTTTTTGTTGTTGCTGTTGCTGTCATTTAAAAAAAATTTCTAGCATTTGCTTTTAATTCTTTCTTAGAGTTTCAGTCTCTCTGCTGAAATTGCCCATCTGATCTTGCCTGTTGTCTACCTTCTCCATTAGAGCTTTTAAAATATTAATCACAGTTATTTAAAATTTTCTATTAGGTAGTTCAAACATCCCCATCACAGTTGAGTCTGGTTCTGATGAGTGCCTTGCCTCTTCAACAGTGTTATTATATTCTTGCCTTTTCACATGCTTCTTCACTTTTTGCTGAAAGCCAGGTATCTCATATATGCAGTAAACTAGGGTCAATCATTTTGCAGGCTGGGATGAGCACACTTTTGGTTCCTGCTGGGCCTTTGTGCTGGGATGTGAAATAAGCTAGTTAGGGATGAGGTTGGACTGAGGTATGTTGTTGCTATGGTTAACTTCAGTGCATCACAATCCTTAAATTTCTCTAATGACACCTACTGTTTAGAGAAGGGGCAGATTTGCCAGAGGGTTTTTCCTTCAATGTGTGTTCCATGCTCATTTTTAAGTCTTCTTCTTCCTCTTTTTCTTTTTTCAGAAAAAGTCTGTTTATATGCTCTTGTCCCTCTTCTCTCCCTGTCCCAGGAGTTCTACACTCTCACCTGTTATTCAATGCTAGTTAGCCTTGTAGTAGTGGGATAATGGGGGGGAATATTCTCTGTTGTTCTGATTGAACCTCAGTCTTAGATGGGCACTATGTTCCTAAGACTCAATGACCCTGCTCCTCTGCTGGCTGTAGTGCTGGACCCAGCACATATTTCTTACTCCCCTCTCTCCTCATAGTGATAGGGTATTTTTTTTTTCTGGTTCTCTTCCACCAGCTGCAATGTATTTTCACTGGTGCCCTAAGGAAAATAGTGTTTGTTGCCCTTCCCTGCACAGATTAAGGATTTATTTCAGACAGGTGATAGAAGAGAAGACTGTGGATGGATTTTGCACCCCTCCCATTGTGTTTGCTCTTCTTTTCTCCTGTTTTACACCTCAGAGAACACTTTCATAGGGCCCTTTTCAATTTTTGTGAGCTCCCAGTGGGGTCCCTGGAAAAAAAGCCTGAAGAAGGGACAGATTCTCCAATTTCTTTTTTTTTTCTTTTTTGAGATGGAGTCTCACTCTGTTGCCAAGGCTGGAGTGCAGTGGCGTGATCTCAGATCACTGCAGCCTCTGCCTCCTGGGTTCAAGCGATTCTCCTGCCTCAGTCTCCCGAGTAGCTGGGATTACAGGCATGCTCCACCACATCTGGCTAATTTTTATAGTTTTAGTTGAGATGGCGTTTCACCATGTTGGCCAGGCTGTTCTTGAACCCCTGGCCTCAAGTGATCTGCCCACTTTGGCCTCCCAAAGTACTGGGATTACAGGTCTGAGCCACCACACCCGGTCAATATTCTCCAATTTCTTTGACTCATAGGGGCTTCACACACTTGCCAGTGCATGCTCAGCTTTCAGCAATTTACTAACTATGTTAGCTGAACTGCTCTTACAAGCATACACTTGTGTCCACCTCGGGGAAACCAGTGCTCATATCTCATCTTTCCCTGAAGGTCTTAGATTTATATCTCTTTAGATTTGGGGCCATTTGATTTCTCTGAAACCTGAGTTCTCTGATAGTTTTTAGAAAGTAATGAACTTTCAGATTGTCTAGCTTTTTCATATTAGTGTGGGAGCAATGCTGTTTTCAGCTCTTTATGTCCCCAAGCAGCTTGCTTTCATTTTTATATGGGTAGTTTTGCTGGGTATAAAATTCAAATATAATTCTAAAGTTCGGGAGTTACATTATTTTGGCCCTTTTATGTGATTTTGTTGTCTATTGGTTTCCACTATGTTATTGAAAAGTATATTGTCAGTCTTACTGTTGCTCCTTTGATGGTAATATGCTTTTTTCCCCTTGCTGCTTTAAAAACTGGTTTTATTTTTAAAAACAGTTTTAAATTCATAGAAAAATTGAGGCTGAGCATGGTGGCTCACATCTGTAATCCCAGCATTTTGGGATGCTGATGTGGGAGGGTTGCTTGAGCCCAGGAGTTCAAGACCAGCCTGGCCAATATGGTGAAACCCTGCTTGTACAAAAAAATACAAAATATTAGCCAGGCATGGTGGCGTGTGCCTGTGGTCCCAGATACTCAGGAGGCTGAGGCGGTAGGATTACTTGAGCCCAGGAGGTAGAGGTAGAGACTACAGTGAACCGTGATCATGCCACTGCACTCTAGCCTGGGCAGCAGAATGAGATCTTGTCTAAAAAAAAATATACAGAATTCCCATATACCCTTTCCCCCCATCACACACAGTCTCCTTCACTATCAACATCCTACTTCAGAGTAGTGCATTTGTTAGAATTGATAAACCTGCATTGGTACATCATTGTCACCCAAAGTCCATAGTTTACATTAGGGTTGACTCTTGGTGGTGTATATTCTATGGGTTTTGACAAATATATGATGCCATGTGTCCACCATTACAGTATGATATAAAGAACTGTTTCATTGCTCTAAAAATCCTCTCTGCTGTGCCTATTCAGGCCTCCCTCCCTGCTAGCCTCTGGCAACCACTGATTTTTTTACTATCTCCATCATTTTTCCTTTGCCAGGATGTCAAATAGTTGGAATCATACAGTATGTGGTCTTTTCAAATTGGCTTCTTTCACTCAGTAACGTGCATTTAAGATTCTTCCATGTCTTTTCACGGCTTGATAACACATTTCTTTTTAGTGCTGATAATATTCTATTATCTGGATGTACCACAATTTATTCATTCACTTACTGAAGGACATTTTGGTTGCTTCCAAGTTTTAGCAGTTATGAATAAGCTGCAATAAACATTTGTGTGAAAGTTTTTATGTGCATATAAGTTTTCAATCACTTGGGTAAATATCAAGGGGGCTGATTATTGGATCACATGGTAAGAGTATGTTTAATTTTATAAGAAACTGCCAAAGTGTCCTCCAAAGTATTGTGCCATCTCGCATTCCCACCACTCACAAATGAGAGTTTCTGTTGCTCTACATCTTTGCCAGCATTTGATGTTGTTCTGCTGCTTTCAAAAATGGACTCTTGGGGAAAAGAAGGGAGAATTCCTGGGGTTATCAGGCAATGTCTCTCACTCTCTTTCCTCTCTTTCCTTGAATCAGAAGGAGTCTGTCTCTGAATGTCTGCCCAGAGTTGGGGGAGGGGTGACATAGGCCCTCCCTTGGCCACCATAGGCGGTGTCACACTTGGTTGCACCACAAATCTACTGCCTCTGAGACCAGTGCGGCACCAGGGCTTGCCCAAAGACTGCAGTCCTTGTGGCCTGACTGCCAGTCATATTTATTCCAAGCTTCAGGCCACGTTAGTCAGCTGGTGGTGGAACCAGCTAGGACTCAGTTTCCCCCCACTGGGGTGGAGAATTCCTCTCTCGCCCTGGACTGGTCTGAATGCTCCATCCATAGTCATCAGCAGAATTCTGTCCCGTTTTATGTTCCACTGTGACAGGACAGCACTGAGTTCCGATGTGAAGTCCCACACTCACTTCACTCTCCCCACTCCGAGGATACAGATTTCCTCTCTGTGCTGTGCTTCCTGGGGTTGGTGGAGGGGTGGTGTAGGCAATGCAGGACTGTCTTTCTTACCCTCTTCAATGCTTCATTCACCTGATTTTTTTGTTCTTCTGAGGGTGCTTTCTTGCCCTGATGGTTGTTCAATTTTGTGTTTTGGCCAGGGGATGATTGCTGGAGGGTTCTGTTCAGCCATCTTGCTCCATCTCCTCTACTGGAAGGGGGAAATCTGACAGGATTTCAGTCCACAGGTAAATGATGAGGTATGTGAGTGGCAATAGCGCCCTGTGCTTTGCTATGACCTTCTGAGTGGAAGGGAGTATGACTGCTACCTCACTTCTGTTTTCTGAAGCTAGCACAAAACATCTCTTGTAACCCACATGAATCCATGCTATTCAGGGAAGAAAAGTCTAACAAAAGTAATACCAGCTTGGCCAAGTTTGCATGATACAAATTCATCTCTCACCTGATTATCTCATTCTTCTCTTTCTGAGACTCCAAGTGCAAATATGACACATTTTCTGGCTGTTCCATATATCTTATACTCTATTTTGTACTTTGCATTCTTTTGGTTTTCTGTCCTTCAGTTTATATATTTTCTTATTAACTACCTTCCATTTGACTAAATCTCTCCTTTATCATTTTGAATCTGCTATTAAACACATTGAGTTCTTAATTGTGATTAATTTTTTTCTGTCCAAAAATTTCCTTTTATTCTTTTTAAGTAATTTATAGTTCTCAACTGAAATTGACCATATTCTCATTTATTTTCTTGAATATGTTTATCATTTATTTTCTTGAACATGTTTTTTTCACATCTATGTCATATAATTCTAATACTATATCTTGATCTCTTGTGTCTTCTATTTCTTTTTGTTTCTTTTGCTTTTTGGCACACTCTTGTCTTTTTATCAATTTGCCTATTTATTTGTTTAAAGATAGTTTTTTGGCTATGTTTTGCAGGCTGGTTTTTAACTCCTAGGCATAAGTGATCCTCCTGCCTTAGCCTCCCCAGTAGCTGGGACTACCAATGCATGCCACCATGCCTGGCTTTGCCTAGTTACTTTTGATCAAATTATTATTTTGATTAAGTTTCAATTTGTATAAAATTATTGAGATTATTTTATTTTCCTCTCAAAATTTATTTTTGCTTTTGGTAGGTAGTAAGTATAGGAATTGATCACTTTAATCAGATGTTGAGTTGATTCAAGTTCATCTCCAGTATTTCTAGGGGTTTATATATCTCCATATACTCCTATATAGAAAGGCATATATTTTCCTAGGAGTAACTTTTGAGGGGTCCCAACTAAAAGCATCAGATGTTTAGTAGGACTCTCTTTCTTGGTGAGTGCTATATTCCAATCTTTGCCTCCTCAGCTCTGTGAGATGCCTGAAATCTTTGCTCAGCTTCTTAGCCTCTCTGCTGTTACTTTTAAATAGAAGTGCCTACAGGGAAAGAGTGACGCCAGTGACTTCCTTTCTCTAGAAGGATCTTGGCATTTCAAGTCTTTTCTGTCTTGGTGGTTCTCTGATACCTTTGAACAGAGGTTTCTCAGATTTTGTCCAGGTTACTCTCAAGTGACATTCTTTAAAAATTGATTTTCAGGTTTTGTTTGCTGATATTTAGTTTTAGGGAGTCTAGAAGTTATAGTTCTGAAAGGTGAGCATTTCTGAATTCCAAGCTCTTGCAATCTAAGGTGTGAGTGAAAAAATGCCCTCAGTGAACTTTCTGTGGTTTGGTATTCATTTTAAAAGGTAGTTAGGAGGGTGTTCAAGATGATATTGGTGGGAATGTAAATTAGTACAGCCACCATGGAAAACAGTATGGAGATTTCTCAGAAAACTAAAAATAGAACTACCATACAATCCAGCAGTCACACTACTGAGTTTTAATCCAAAGGAAAGGAACCTGGTATATCAGAGGGACACCTGCACCCCCATGTTTATTGCAGCACTATTCATAAGAGCCAAGATATGGAATCTACCTACATAACCAGCAACAGATGAATGGGTAAAGAAAATGTATATATAGACACAATAGAATACTATTTGTCCTCAAAAAAGAATAAAAGAATGTCATTTGTAGCAACATGGATGGACTTGGAGGTCATTACATTAAGTGAAGGTCATTATGTTAAGGTCATTATGTTAAGCCAGACACAGAAAACAAATATCACATGTTCTCACTCATATGTGGAGGCTAAAAAAGCTGTTCTCATGGGGGTGGTGAGTAGAGTGATAGATTCCAGAGTCTGGGAAGGGTGTGTGGTTGGTGGGAGGATGAAGATAGATTGGTCAATGGGTACAAACATACAGTTTGATAGAAAGAATACATTCTTAATATTTGATAGCCGAGTAAAGTGACTACAGTTAACAATAATGTATTGCGTATTTCAAAGTAGCTAGAAGAAAGGATTTGAAATGTTCCTAATACATAGAAACGATAAATGCTTGAGGCGGTAGATATCCTAAATACCCTGACTTGATCCTTGTGCGTTCTGTGCATGCAAGAAAATATCACATGTACCCCATAAATATGTACAAATATTATGTATCAGTAAAAAAATAAAACGGTAGTTGTATCATGCTGTGGGATAGGAAATTCATGATTAGCACACCCATTTCATAGAGGAAGAAACTGAGGCATGAGCAATTGGAAGCCTGGGGAGTGAGTGACAAAGTTTCAAAAAGAGATGAATAGAATTTGGATAAGTATGCTCCAATCTTAAATTCAGAAAATCTCATACCTTTCGACTTTCTCATAGTTTTTTTTTGTTTGTTTGTTTCATAAGTAAGAAAAATGTTTTAGACCCCTCTTCTCAGTAGTCGCTTGTGTGCTTTGGCTGAGATTTTGCTGATGCTTTGGCTCTCCTGGGTACCATGTCTTTGCATTGTTTAGGTGACTCTTGGATATCACCACATCTGTAGTTCACTGGGGTTGACTTGTGTAGGCCTATGCACAGTAGAAAAATCAGCATCATTGCAAATATATGGAGGGATTCTTACAAGTGATTTCCATTTTCCCTAGTTATACCTCTTCAGATTTTAATTTTGTTGAATTCTTATTTATTTGACTTCCGTGTTGTGTTTTCTCCCTGTCGTCCCCATGTCCTTGGGAGCCATAACCCTAAAAGATGTGTTCCCCTTCCCAACTCTGCATTCAAATCACATTGGTAACTTGGAAATGACCATAGTGGCAGTATTTACACCATGGAAATTGGGAAATCAAGACTTTTATTCCCAGGCAGCAAAGTGTTGAACATTTCCCAGCACACCATGCCCTAATCCCTCCGTAGAACAAGGCACTGTCAACACACGGATGGATGTAGGTCTGGTGTCGCCGAGTGGAGCAGCATCACCGTTGAGTATCACAAATGGTTTAATAATGGAATATCAGCCGTTCTTGTTCATGAAAATCCCTTGACTATTCCTGCTTCCAGGGATCATGAATTTGTTTTTTTTCTTTAGGTTCTAGCCTCTCACGTGGATGGTTGGGAGAGAGCAGGAATGAAGTAATTTCTCTTCTTTTTTTTTTTCTTCAGCATACAGTTTGTGTAATGACAGGGAGCATCAGTCACAGTGTATTGTGTCCCAGAGCATTTGAATCGAGTCCCCTGGCATGGTGTGAGCAGTGGTGTCGAACCCATATCCCTGGTCCCAGCAGTAACATGTTCTCAGATCTGCCTTGATTTTGCAGCATATGGCATTGGGGTACACACTGAACAGAGGGTCACACCGTCAGTATCTCACTAGAGTAGCATGTGTTAGCCTCCGTGTTCCCTGGCAAATCATCACCCGAACTAATGAGAAGACCACTGCTGTTCCTGCTGCTGCCACTGTCGTGGGGTTTCTCTTTGGGAGCTCCTCCAAAGCATCACTAACAGGCCCACCTCTGGGACCAGTATATGGTGAATTATGAAGCTGGGATTTCATTTTTCATGTTGGTTTGCCATGCACAAGAGATGGAATCTTTTCCTATTTTTTTCTGCCTGTAAAATGAATATAATGTTAGTTGGCTTTTCTAATAGCCACAACCACAAATATACATTACTTCTGCTGTGCATAGGTCTACATAAGACAACTCCAGTGAAATACAGATGTGGAGACATCCAAGAGTCACCTAAACAATGCAAAAACATGGTACCCAGGAGAGCCAAAGCATCAGCGACATCTTTTATAACAACCACAACCACCTGGTTTCCTCTTTATAAGCACTCTTAGTGATAATAGCAATAAAATAGTTTTAGCAACTACCTTGGATTGGTCTCTTTCTATTTACCATCACTATCCTGGGTGTTTCACACAAATTACCCCATTTAATTTTTATAAAATCATTATGGAATAGTTGCTGCTACCATCCCAATTTCCAGAGGAGGAAACTAAATCTGCTGAAAGTTTAAAATGATTTGTCCAAGGTATAGAATGTGGCAGATTCAGAATTTGAACTTAATATAGAACTCCAAAACTTGCATTTTTTTTTTTTTTGAGACAGAGTTGTTGCATTGCCCAGTCTGGGGTGCAGTGGTGTGATCTTGGCTCACCGCAACATCCACCTCCCAGGTTCAAGCGATTCTCCTGCCTCAGCCTTCCGAGTAGCTGGGACAACAGGTATGCGCCACCGCACCCGGCTAATTTTTATCTTTTAGTAGTGATGGGGTTTTGCCATGTTGGCCAGGCTGGTCTCAAACTCCTGACCTCAGGTGATCTGCCCACCTCGGCCTCCCAAAGTGCTGGGATTACAGGTGTGAGCCACTGTGCCTGGCCCCAAAACTTGCATTCTTAACCACTGCTTCCTCTCAGAAAAATGAGAGAAAGATGGAAAAGAGTGTACAGTGCTGTATTTTGTACCTCTCAAAGAGGACATATGGTAAACTTGGTGGCCTGCTTTTGGTCCTTGAGTGCTATGGAGCTGTGAGGGTCAGAGGCGCACAGGGCTCCCCTGGGGGCAGTTTAGACATAGTTGCTTTCCTGCTCGCTCCCTTTCCCTGGTTTCTCTCCTGAGTAGGTTTCACAGACAGGCTGCTGTAGCTCCACAGAGAGTGAGGCGCTTCCTGCCAGCTCCGGTCTTAAATTGCAGCACTCCGAGGGGATTAGCACCGTGGAATCGGTGTGCAGACCAGACCCGAGTGCCACAAAGCAAATATTTCACATTTCATGTTAAATCACATCCTAAGACAAGTGTGAAGAATTGGGATTAAGTGAGAAACGTTCATTTCAGGGTTTGAAATGGGGTTTGATTAGGGTGGAATCAACAAGTTCCTCTGCCCTGTCCCCACCTTTTCCTGGGGAGTCTGGACATCTTGTTCTTTGTGTGGGATGTCCAATAGAGGCATCAGGCAGCACACTGACGAGGTGAGACAGGGTGGGCCGGGTGCCTGGAATGTGCTGGTCACACCAGGTTTTCCAGATTCAGGAAAATAAAAGGGGTTTGGGGCTCAAGGAAAGACATTTCTCTGATTGTGCATAAAAATAATCAGGACAAGGACTGAAGGGCAAGGAATAGCAGCAGATGAGTAAATGAAGCATGTACGGGACCAAATCAATATATTCTTAGAGTGACTAAGAGTTGCACAGCCTGGGTGGTATTTCTCAGACTCCTGCCTCTACTCAGGGAGGAGCGGGTGGGGACGAGGCTTTTCTGAGCCTCAGTGTTTGTGGGGGCCGCTCCCCGACAGGTTCGCTTCATGCTCAAATCTCATTCCTGAGCACAGGCGAATTTAACCTCTACTCAATTGGAAGCGAGGGTCCCACTTCCCCTTCGCTCTCCTGCTGAGCAAACCTGACATTTTATAATATACAGATGTGTAAAGGAAACATTGGGTTGTGGTTTCTGATGTGTCTGTTTCTCCTTTGTGAAAACATGGCATGCTTAAGAATGGACATTTTGGAGTAGAGGTTCCGACTTGTTGGATGGAAGTGGCTCCTGCATGGTTTGTGGAATGTCTCAGTCGGAGTCTCTGGTTGCTTCTGGAATCTTTGCGATAACCAACGGGAAGTTTCTGGGGCACAGAAGTTGCTTCTCTTCTCTTCCCACCTCTCCCAGTGAAAGTGCTTTGTAAGTTCTAAGGCAGTGGCTTTCCTAGGGTGGTCCCTAGACCAGCAGCATTGGACCCCCTACAACTTGTTAGAAATGTGCATTCTTGAGTCCTACCTCATAGTACGGAATCGGACATTCTGGGGGTGGGACCAGCATTGTACGTGTCTAACGAGCCCTCCAGCTGATTCTGAGGCAGGCTGGGGTTTGAGAAGCACTGCTGTCAGGCCACGTGACACGGGAGTAGGGTGTTACTTATAATCAGCACTTCAGAGGCAGGAATGATGTGGATATGGGAGAAGACAGACATCTAGATTACTGTAATCTCGTTACTGCTCTTAAATACAAGCATTTAATCATGTTACTCAATTCAGCAAATGCTTTAATAATTATTATGTTTACATTTTAGAATATATTTTAAACTATAGTGTTTGGTCCTCTATGAATCATTCATTCATTCATAGAAACGTATTGAACACTTACTATGTGCCAGGCAATTAGCTAGCCTTTGAGTTCAATGGTTAGCAAAACCAGAAAGTATCTGTTCTTCTGAGATTTTGAGAGTGTGTGGAGGCTGGAGGAGGGACAGACACTAAACAAATAAGCAAAGAAATTTTCGTGGTTATTAATGCCTCAAGAAGAGGTAGAGATAGCAATCCAACAAGAAAATAAATATCAAATGACAAATCTGATACATTCTCGGAAGGAGCAGTATGTGGTGGATTGACAGAGGGTAAGGGACCCTCTTCCTTGCAGAAGTGACTTCTAAACTGAAGTGGAAACTGGTCATTGCCAACACAACCGAGAGGGGAGTGGGGCTCTGAAGAGGGTGAACACAGGGCTGGTGTGAGGAAGCAAGCTTAACTTAAAGAAATGGAAGCAGGGTTTTGAAGCCAAGTTATGGATTTTGGATTTTAATCTAACAGTAGTGAGAAACCCTGTGTATTAGTTAGCACTCATTAGGTAATGCTGTGTAACAAACAGATGCAGAGATCTCCATGGCTCAGTAACAAAGGTTGATTTCTCACTTGTGTTCCGTCTTGACTCTGGGCCAGCTGCAGCTGTGCTCCATGGACCCTGTTCACTGTGGGACCCAGGCTAAAGAAGCAGCTTGAATTTGGGTCATGCCCATCTCGTGGCAGAGGGAGAAGAGGCATGTGCCACCTCTGATCACATCCTTGGGTTAAAGAAAATCCCATGGCAAAACCTCAGCCAGGAGCCTGCAGGGATGGGCAGATAGAGAGGGGCAGCAATAATTAGGATTAGGGCCCCTTCCTGTGGGCTCTTGAAGGTTTTACATGTGCACAGGATTGCTGGTAATGGAATCAGATCTGTTCTGAAAGGTGTAGTGATTGGACTGATGGTAACAGAATCAAATCTGTTCTGAAAGGTGCAGCGATTGGACTGATGGTAACAGAATTAGATCTGTTCTGAAAGGTGCAGCGGTTGGACTGATGGTAACAGAATTAGATCTGTTCTGAAAGGTGCAGCGATTGGACTGATGGTAACAGAATTAGATCTGTTCTGAAAGGTGTAGTGATTGGACCCAAGTGGGTGCAAGAGTAAATAAGTGAGGCAAGAAGAGGCTCAGGTAATGCTCCAGGTGAGGAGATGGTAGTGGGAGGGTGGAGATGCAGAAAGTAGGTCGGAGAAAGAATTTGAAGGCAAAAAGAATAATCTTGGTGACCACTTTGTGGGTGAGGGAGAGTGAATGTCAAGGATGACCCCCCCCCCAAATTTTTGCCTTATGTAGCTGGGTGAATGAGGGCATTGATAAATGGAACACTGGGAATGAGCATGTTTGACAGAAGAATATCATGAATTTGGTTTTGAGTATGTTCAGTTTGAGATACCTTGGAACCATCCATGTGGTTTTACCATGTTAAGTAAGTAGTTGGTTATTTACTAGATTATTTGTAGGAAATTTTTTTTTCCAATTTCTTTTAGAATATTACCTAAAAGTTATACTGAGAGTGACTTTTTTTTTTTTCCTTTTGAGACAGGGTCTCACTCTGTTGCCCAGCCTGTAGAGCGGTGGCATGATCTGGATTCATTACAGCCTCAACCACATGGGCTCAAGTGATCCTCCCACCTCAGCCACCTGAGTAGTGGGTAGCAGGGACTGCAGGCATGTACCAAAATGCCAAGCTAATTTTTATATTTTTTGTAGATATGGGGTCTTGCCATGTTGCCTAGGCTGGTCTGGAACTCCTGGGCTCAAGAGATACTCCCACCTCGGCCTCCCAAAGTGCTGGGATTCCAGGCATGAGCCACCACACCCATCCTTCAGAGTGACTTTCTTAGTGGAAATAACCTTTGTGTTATCATTTTATCATTCTTTTTTTTTTTGAGATGGAGTTTTGCTCTGTCACCCAGTTTGGAGTGCAGTGGTGTGATTTCGGCTCACTGCAACCTCTGCCTCCTGGGTTCAAGTGATTCTTCTGCCTCAGCTCCCCAAATAGCTGGGACTACAGGCGCACACCAACACGCCCAGCTAATTTTTGTAGTTTTATTAAAGATGGGGTTTCATCATGTTGGCCAGGCTGGTCTTGAACTCCTGACCTCGTGATCTGCCCACCTCGGCCCCCCAAAGTGCTGGGATTACAGGAGTGAGCCACTGTGCCTGACCCCATTTTCTCATTCTTAGAATACATAGATATTTAAACATTGTTGATGGGTAACAACTTTTTCCTATTTTTTTTGTCTTAGGTTATTTAATAGAAGGGAAATCACTCTTCCTTTATATTTCTCATTTATTGATACAAGTGTTCCTGCTTAACCACAAACTAGATAATACGCCTCCTTTTCCTTGGTAACACGGTGGGTGGGAGCCGAGGCAATCAAAGTGTAAAAATCAGACAGCATCTCTTCCCGCCACTGTGTCTGCAGACCTCCCAAACTGAGGCACGGTGCTGAACACCTCCAGCATTTTCATATCAGAAAACTGGCAAATATAGTCAAGGACGATGAGCAGCTGAAATTACAAAGGGCTCTTGGACCACTGAGACAGGATTTTTAATCCTTTTAGGATCAGCCAACCTTTTCTGAGTGTTGCTTCATCTTATGTAAATTCTTAGAGTTCAAGAAAATTCAGTATTTAGAATACAAAGCAGGATGGATCCAGGCTTTCTTTCTTTCTTTTTGTTTCTCCTAGTATTTCTATAGTAAATACGGTTTCAGAAAACACCCCATGTGATTTTGAAACACATTTTGGCTGGAATCTTGGCAACACTCGCCCTTCTCCAAGTGATGCCCTTTAACACACTATTGGAGCTATTGGACCGAGATTCAAATCTCGGGGAATGTCAGGTATCTCTGAAACACGAAGGGAAGTGTGGAAGTGCTTGGGGAAAGTGTTATAGTAAAAATCACAGTATTATGTTTTCCCACCTGAACGCCATCCAATAAACTATTTCTCCATTTCGTTCACAACATACCAGGAAATTACTACGCTCAAAATTCTGTATTACTTCTAAGTCCAACAAGCCACAGATACAACTCAACAAGTATGTGTTCATTGGATGTGAGCCCTGGGAGGCCGGTCCTCTTCATCTTGGTCTTCCTCAAAGCATCTGTCACAGAGGCATAAAGGCAGGTACAGGAATGGGTCTTGCTGCATTGGACCTGTTGCCTATGCTTTGGTTTGGGGAGAGAGTATATACCCCTCAAAGGCAGCTTCCACCTGCTGGCCAGTGGGGAAGAGTTTAACATGACCTAACTTAACTCTGTGCTGGCCAGCTGGGCTCTGAAGTCCTAAAACCGAGCTGGAATCCCGACTATGGTTTACCAGCCGTGTAATAACCCTGAGCTGGTTACATGATCTTTAAACCTTCATTTATGCACAGAGCATATGCAGGAGTTAACTGAGGTGATGTACAAAAAGTGTACAGATAACTATTAACAGTCATCTCGATAATGGGAACGCAAGAGAACCTACAGTGTGTGCTTTTGTAAAACATAGGTAGATGTGAGAAACAGCTCACTTGTACAGTCAATCCTTAGTGGCCCCAGGACAGAGGACTTCTGTGAATTATGGCCCCAGGAAACTTCACTGGAATAAAGACATCCAGCCACTGTACCCTTGAGTGCTCTCAGCTGAAGCCGGGACTTTAAAGGGCCTTGGCATACACGGTGGCTTGTTGTCTTAACCTCAGTTGGGATGAGATAGAATATTCACACCCCTGTCCCCAGCTAAGTTTTTATTAACATTGAGACCCCGTGTGTAGAAGAGCTTTGTGACTGGGTGGTATAATCTATGCAAACGTTACCACACGGAGTTGTTTCTTTCTAGTTTGGTTCACCTTCTTTCCGCAGTGGAGCCGCACGTGTGTTTGTTAGGTGGGTTGAATGCCCTTCCTGAGAAGGAAGCATCTCTCCATGTCTGTGTGCAGGAGAGCGATGACAGAAGGCCACTGTCTGTACCCGGAAAAATCCCAGGACAAGGAGGGCAAAGAGCCCTGGATGTGAGTCCAAGATCTGCTGTCACGTTGTATGGATGTGGGCAGGTAAGTGCCGGGCTCAGAGTCCTCATCTGAAAGATGAAGACCAGAGTTGCCCCTCCATTTTGCCTTGCAGCATTTTTCTGGGTATCAAGAACAAAGGTGCAAGAGTCTTATTCATTCATAAAAGGAAGTTCTGACACCTGCCACACCACAGCTGAACCTTGAAAACATCGTCCTACATCAAAGAAGCCAACGCACTAGGACAAATATTGCAGGATTCCCTTTATGTAAGGTTCCAAGAATAGGCAAATTGATAGATGCAGAAAGGAGAATGGGCGTTCCTAGGGCTGGGGGCCAGGGGATTAGGGAGCTGGAATTTGATGGGTCCAGAGTTCCCGTTAGGGACGATGGAAAAGTTCTGGAGATGGATGGTTGGTGATGGTTGCCCAAGAATGCAAATGTACTTTATGCCACTGAATTGTACCTTAAAGACGGTGAAAATCGTAAATTTTTATGTTGTCTATACTCTACCACAATAAAAATAGCAAAAAAACTCCAATAACCATGGAAAGTCATGGTACAAATTCAGGTTATAATATGAAACGTCAGTTCTCTTTTTCCCAGGGTAAAAGAGACATGGAAAAGAGAGGAGACGAGGGCTGATGGCCTGTCTGTTGGTCCTTGACGTTTTCGGCTTTGCCCGAGCCTGGTGGCTGAGCAGACGCAGAACCAGCAGCCGGGGCCTGGGCCTGGCTGTGGCCCTCTGTTTACTCGTCCTATCCTTGTTTCTTCTGTAAAATGAGGCATTCATTCCAGATGGCCCTCCACGACCCCACCTCACCCCCATAGCGCCACAATTCTCAAATTTCATTCACTTTCTTTTGATCTAGCTCTGTTCTTTTAAGTAATGTCATCTTGGCTTACTTTTTATAAACACATGGGAGCAAATCGTATTTGATTATTAACTTAAAAAAAAATTAAGAACCACCAAGGTGCTATAGGTTCTGAAAAACACCCTTTCCAACGATAAACACCCCATGCAGGGCTTGGCGGCCCAGGTGGCCGAGTCGCCGGCCTTGGAGGGGGCAGCCTTGCTGCTCTTCTGCGCCCTCTGGTGGCCTCTCTCCATCACCGTCGCCACCGCACAGGATTCTTCGGGGCTTGTGCCTTGGGCTGGGTGAGGACACTCACTTGTCTGAGGAGGAGATTTACTCTGGCAAACTTGTGTCTGGTGCTTCGAGTAGAGAGATGGAAAATGACAACTTTCTATTCTGAAAGGCTCTCTATTAGTGGCCGGTGATGAAGATGCCAGAAAAAAGTGGCCCATCCATTATATTTATGTTGTGTGATATTGGACCACAGAGGGTAAAGTCAATGAGCAGAATAAGTAATTGTAACAAGCATTTTCATTCCCTTGGCAGGAATTTACTCATTAGCAGTATACCTATTTTATACGGGGAGATTAGATAAATTAGAGATTAAAGAAAGTGGAACAGATGTTTTTCCTCTGATAAGCATCATTCTATAAGAAAACTCCAGAGGGTTAGAATCAGTGCAGAAAGCAGGAATGCACATTATTTTTTGGTGCTTCCACATTTTGAGAAGGCAAAAAAAAAAAAAAATACTAGGTGGGGGGAGGTTGGGCCAGCGCAGGGTTGCACGCGTACAGCACACCGACACCTCCATTGTAACGTGACTAATAATAGAGCCTTCTGTTTTTTGAGTACGTGCTAAGTGCCTTGTGTACTTTGTGAGCTCTGTGCCAGGTGCTTTGTGGATGTTCTCTTTAATCCCTCCAGTGACAGCGGTGGGGCAGCTGTTTTGTTTCTATTTCACAGATGAGAAAGGCGGAGAGGCTCCAAAAGGGCTAATGATTGGATGGAGATTGGGTCAAGCAGTGGTTCTCAGCCGGCAGCATCATCATTGCCTGGGAGCTTGTTAGAGATGAAGATTCCAGGCCCCACCCTAGACTTCCTGAATCAGAAACTTGGTTGTGGGGTGTGGGGATCTGTACCTTTTTTTTTTTTTTTTTTTGAGATGGAGTCTCGCTCTGTCACCCAGGCTGGAGTGCAGTGCCTCGATCTCGGCTCACTGCAACCCCCACCTTTCGGGTTCAAGCAATTCTCTTGCCACAGCCTTCCGAGTAGCTGGGATTACAGATGCCCGCCACCATACCCAGCTGATTTTTGCATTTTTAGTAGAGACAGGGTTTTACCATGTTTGCCAGGCTAGTCTCAAACTCCTGACCTCAGGTGATCCACCTGCCTCAGCCTCCCAAAGTGTTGGGATTACAGACGTGAGCCACCATGCCCGGCTGTGGATCTGTTTTTTTTTTTTTTTTTTTTTTTTGGCGACGGAGTCTTGCTCTGTCACCCAGGCTGGAGTGCACTGGTGCGATCTCCACTCACTACAACCTCTGCCTCCCAGGTTCAAGTGATTCTCCTGCCTCAGCCTCCCAAGTAGCTGAGATTACAGGCGTTCACCACCACACCTGGCTGATTTTTGTATTTTTAGTAGAGATGGGGTTTTACCATGTTGGCCAGGCTGGTCTTGAACTCCTGACCTCAGGTGATCTACCTGCCTCGGCCTCCCAAAGTGCTGGGATTACAGGCGTGAGCCACCACACCCGGCCGGGGATCTGTATTTTTAAGGAGCCCTCTGGTGACTCTGATGCTGTTGAAGTTTGGGAGCCACTGACCTAGAGCACTGGTCCTCAATCCTCACTGTGCATCTGAATCCACTGGGAGGTTAAAAAACAAAGCCACAGGGGCCTGGACCCCAACCCTTGGAGCTTTGGATGTAATTGATATGGGTGGGGCCTGGGAAATTGTTCCGTGCAGCCAGGCCCCAGGCCCAGTGGGGCGGAGAAATGGCGTGGTGGGAACGGAACTCAGGGCAAGTCTTGTCTCATCTCCAGACCTCTGCTTGGAAGCAACCCGGGCCATTTCTTCAGTTCACAGCCTGCTTGGGTTGTGGGAGACCGCCGAAGACATCTCCTGATTCTACCCAGGAGTCAGAAAGGGCTAACGGCCGGGCAAACAGGTTCCACGTGGACCTGCCATTGTGTGCTCGCCAAACCCAGGGTGGGCTGCCATCCAGTTTTGGCCAGGTGGCTTGACCAGAAGTTGGCTGCTGGTCTTCTGGGGGAGATTTTGTTTTCCTTTAAGAGAGAGCTCCAGGAGGAGACAGCAGATAGACCTCACAGCCTCTCCTTCCTCTGAACTGTGTGGTATAGGGGGCAACGCCTGGCTGTTGCAGCCCTGACTCCCGGACGCTCCCATCTGAGCAAGGGGGGAGGGTGGGAAAAACCTGCCTTGACGGGGCCACCGACAGCACCGTGGCCACTCTGCCTCTGCACTTGCCACAGGAGGAAGCCTTCCCTGGTCCAACTGGAAACCCAACTCAGGTAGCCCCTCGCACCCGCTGCCAGGCAGCTGTCCCATGCCACCCCTCGTGGTCTGTGGCTCAGGTTCTGGGCTTCTGTCCTGGCTTGCTTACCTGGCAGGATGCCAGCTCAGTCACCATCTCCCCACTTGCCTGACCTTCTCCCCCTCCCGCTCCTGAGTGCGCCCTGTGTTGCCGTGTGGCTGTGTCTGCACCTGTCTTGTCTTTGTCAGTATTCACGTTTGAATTGGTCGCACTGCCCAGCACACAGTCTGGGTGAGGCTCAGTGCAGTCAGTGAGCGGTAACTCGTTCTTGTGTAATGAACACATGAAGCGGGGTGGATGCCTGCCAGACACCAGGGTTCAGCCTGGAAGGGGATTTGAAGAGACGTGTGAGTCCCCAGGAGTGGCTCAGAGTCAGGTAAGCATCTGGAGAGTGAGCCCGGGATTTCTCTGCAGTCACGATTTCCATAACCAGAGTGGCCCCCTTCTAACCCTGTTACCCTCCATTAGGGTCTTGCCTTTCTGGGAGCTGTGTTGTTGGCTCAATTCCTTGTGTCTCCACTTGTGACACAGTGAGGTGGCCTTACATATGCGTGCCTTTTCATTCTTACAGGTGCCTTCTCAGGTCCTTCCTTCCAGGTGGGAGAGAAACTCCATTTCTCCCTGCAATAAAAGCTTTATAATGGTATCTATGTAGATGGCAAACTGGCACAGGAGAGAATGATCTGTAATTATAATAACATTTATTCAGTTGTTTAGCCATTCATTTCTTAATTAGACAAATGTTTATTGAATATATACTATGTACCAGACATCAGTCCAATCAATCAGTTAATAGGAAATTAAAGTCTATTTTACAAAGTTCTGTGATAGGGACCACAAAGCATTGAGGAAAAGCTCCCAAACCAGTGATGGAGAGGGTGTTAGACAGTGTATCCCAGGAGGAGAAGGGGCCGTGCTGGGATCTGTGTGATGTGGAGGGTTTTCAGATGAAGAGGAGGGAGAAGAGAATAAGAGCAAAGGAAACAGGCTCTGCCAAAGGCCACAAGATGAGAGGGAGCTGTGAGTCTGGGGACCAGCCTGGGGTTCAGTGTCAGGGGCCAGAGTATGTGGGCGGGGGTATGGTGCCTTGCTCCCAAGTCCAAACTTCATCCCGAGCTCTCCATGTACCCATTACCCAGCTTCCATACTGATAAGTTCACAGCTGGCTTTATCTCTTCTACCACTCCCTTCCCATCTCCAAACTTAGATGATTTTGAAGCAAGGTCCTAATAACATTTTAAAAACATTTTAAAAACATTTTAACGTGTATCTCTGAAAGACGAGAACTTGCTGAAAAAACAGAACCATGATTTCATTATTGTATCAAAAAATTAACAATTCCTAAATAACATCAAACATCCAGGTGGTTCTTAAATTTCTTCTGATTTTTCTAAAAAATATTCTTATACTTTATTTGAATCAGGATCCAATAATTATATATATATTGCAATTGATTGATATGCTTCTTAATTCATCTTTCTTTTTATTTCTGTGCAGTATATTTGTTCAAGAACAGGGTTTCTTTGTCCTGTGTTCCCCACAGTTTAGATTTGCTGACTACTTCCTTGTGGTGTCATTTAACATGTTCCTCTGTCCCCTGTTCTTACTGTAAATTGGAAAGTGGGTGAGATTCAGGATTGTTTTGTAAATCTCATAGGTGGTGTCTCAATTCATAGCACTGGAGTGTCAGCAACCTTTCCAAGGTACCTTTAAAGCAAAAGAATACCCAACAGTTCTGTTGATGAAGTAGCACATTCAAAAAGCCTCAGAAGTATTTATGCTCTAACAACTTAGTGGTTTTTTGAAAATGAATGAATGTAAATTAAATGAAAAAAATTTTCATTGCATTCTTAAATATTGCAATTACTTACTAGTTGGGCACCACATGGTTTCTCAAACTTTGGAACACTGCTACCTTCATTTCTTCTTTCATCTGGATTTCTGCATGGTATGTATTTTTTTATTACTGTGATAAAATATACCTAACATGAAGTTTACTATTTTAACCATTTTTAAGTGCACACTTTAATGGGATTAAGTACCTTCACAATGTTGTGCAACCATCACCACTATCCATTTCCAGAACTTTCTCATCACCCCAAAGGGAAGTTCTGGACCCATTAAACAATATCTTCCCATTCTGCACTCCCCTAGCCCCTGGCAATCGCTATTCTACTTTCTGTCTCTGTGACTTTGACTGTGCTAGGTGCCTCATATAAGTGGAATGATACTTATCCTTTTGTGTTTGGCTTTTTTCACTTAGCATGTTTTCAGTTTTCATCCATGTTGTAGTATGTTTCAGTTCTTCCTTTCTTTTTAAGAATGAGTAATACTCCATGGTACGGATACACCACATTTTGTTTATTCATTCATCTGTTGATGGACATTTGGGCTGTTTCCACCTGTTGGCTATTGTGAATAGTGCTGCTGTGAACATAGGTGAACCAGCATCTCTTTGAGCTCCTGTGTTCACTTCCTTTGGGTATATAAGAAGGTGCTTACTTTTTATCACAGCAGTCTGGAAAACCCAGCATCACACACATATGATATCATTGAAAGGAATGTAGCTTGACTTAATGAGGAAAGTGAGAGCTACCTTGAGCTGGCAGTTTGGGGCAGTGCCTGGCAGATGTTGAGTACTGTTTTTTCTCCTCAAAAACTTCTGTGCCAGCCCTGGATGGTCACAGCAGTGTCCAGGTGCTTCAGCCACAGTTGAGTTTGGGAGTCGCATAATTATGTTTGAAAACACATCTGACTTGGAAAGGGGTGAGGAGGCTGGGGACCCGGCTGGCAGCCTTGGTGGCAATGCAGATGAGAGATGATGGCTAGAGCTGAGGCAGTGATATTGGAGATGGGGGGAGTGGCTGGATTGAGAGGTGTTGAGTGACCACAGTGATTGTCAGTAAGGTGAGTGTTTTGTGAGCAGGGGAGACCTTTTCGAGAGTTGCTAAAGCCTGGAGTCAACAGAAAAGCATTGTGTGTGGCTCACTGTTTCTTTTTGTTGTTTAGACAAGGTCTTGCTCTGTTGCTCAGGCAGCCTCCACCTCCTAGGCTCAAGTGATCCTCCAACCTCAGCCTCGTGAGTACTAGGACTACAGGAATGCACCACCATGCCCAGATAATTAAAACTAACTTTCTTTCTTTCTTTCTTTCTTTCTTTCTTTCTTTCTTTCTTTCTTTCTTTCTTTCTCTCTCTCTCTCTCTCTCTTTCTTTCTTTCTCTTTCTGTCTTTCTTTTTTTGTAGAGATGTTGTTTCACCATGTTGCCTAGGCTGGTCTCAAACTCCTGGGCTGAAGTGATTCTCCTCCCTCAGCCTCCCAAAGTGCTGGGATTCCAAGTGTGAGCCATTGTGCCTAGCCACCACTTTGCCTCTAACAGCAGCAGGCAGATCTGTCCTGCCAGGATGAGGCCATCACCAGGGCAGCCTCCATCATCACCTTTGAGTCATTCTTGAATGCAGGATCAATCCTTTTTTATCATTAAAGGCACTTGACACATAAATAAGTCTGGCAAATTGACCCATTGCTGCTTTAGTTTGGATCTTCTGCCTGGAAAGGCAGAGGAGAGATGAGTTGAGTACTGCAGGTCCCAGAGAGGTAACTTCAATTTGCAGGTGGAGATGCTGATTTCGTTAGGATACTCCCATTCACTAGAGAGTTAGAACTAAAATTTTTGTTTTTCTTACAGATTTGGTTTTAAAAATCCAGTATTTTGTCTAATTAATTCTTTTTTTTTTTTTTTCTCGAGATAGAGTTTCGCTCTTGTGGCTCAGGCTGGAGTGCAATGGCACAATCTCAGCCAACTGCAACCTCCACTTCCTGGGTTCAAGCGATTCTCCTGCTTCAGCCTCCCAAGTGGCTGGGATTACAGGTGCCCACCACCATGCCTGGCTAATTTTTATATTTTTAGTAGAGATGGGGTTTCACCATGTTGGCCAGGCTGGTCTCAAACTCCTGACCTCAGGTGATCCACCCACCTCGGCCTCCCAAAGTGCTGGGATTACAGGCATGAGCCACTACGTCCAGCCTAATTCTTTAATTCTTAATGAGTAAGTGAAATTGCCTTAATGACTTGTAGCCAGGAAACACTCAGGCTGGTGTTTCTCTTCTTGTTCCAAGAGTTATGGATAACTACCAGCTGCTTCTGATGACACTGTTAGACAATGATCATGTGACCACAGGGGTGGCTCTGATGGAACCCAGATGATAATCCCATATGTTAGGATCAATTCCTTGCTAGATTCATATGTTGCTTTTTGTCAAAAAGTCATTCTTTAGAAGCTGCAGTACTTCCTGTTGTGTTAAGGGCCTCTCTACCCAGTGAGGAGACCAGACCTGGCCTGATGAGCTGCGTGAGCCCTGCCCCTCTGTCTTTATTTGGGAAATGGGGATAGTGACGCCTATGGGACCTCCCTCATGGGGTTGTTGTGAGTCTCTGTAAGGTCATCCTTGAGGAAGAGCTTTGCAAAGCATCAAGAACCAATCAGGTAATCCCTTACATCAGGAATCTGGCCGGACGCACCCTGTAGGCCACAGAAAATCAAGGACTCAGATGCCTGGCCACGCCTCCTTAGGCAGCAGTCCTGATGTGGTGTTTCTCAGCAGCTCTGCCTTCTCACAGCCCTCCTGGTGTGAGCAGAGTTAGTGCCAGCGTTAATAGTGTTTATTTTAGAATCAACACATCCCTATACCTCATCATGCCACAAAAAGAGGCATTTAGGCTGGACCATTCCACAAATATTTATAGAACACCTCCTAGGAGCCAGGCATTGTTCTACTCTCTGCCAACACCAGGAGAACAAATAGATACTGTCCCTGCTCGTATGGAGCCCACAGTGAGGGAGAGAAAGACATGAAAAGCAACAGCACCCGTGAACAACCCCCACACTAATAAATATGTGACTAAGAGCTGTGACAAATGCCGCGAGGGGAAAACGGGGACTGTGAAGAGAGATTATGTGGCAGGAGGGCTGGAAACAGATGGCACTTCTCTGAGGAAGTGGCTTTTGGGCTGAGACCTAATGGCAAATGGGAGTTAGAGACTTTGGCAAAAATAACAGCCACATGAAGGAAGACCCAAAGGCCAGCATTGTCCAGTTTTATGATCAAGGGGACGGTGGTGGCAGCTGATGAAGCCAGAAGGGACAGCAGACATCAGGCAATGCAAGGTAGTTCTGTGGTGGTGTGGGTTTCACCTGACGTGCAGTGGAGTCCACAGAGTGTTAATAAGCAGTGCGGTGATGTGAACCCATGTGGAGAAGGGCCAATCGGGATGCTTGTGGAGGGTGGACCAGGGCAGCAAGATAGACATGAAAGCCAGTCAGGAGGCTACACCATCACTGGGTGGAGGTGGCTGTAAGTGAAGTGGTGGGATTGGAGGGACCTGGGCTGGGCTGGATACACAGGGAGGGAGAGGGAAAGGGAGGGCCGAGGACAGTGCCCAGGTGTCTGCTACCTGAAACTGAGTGTAGGAGGTCCCATTTCCTGAGGGGGACACTAGAGTCCAGGCTGGGAGCTGTGTGAGTCCCCTGGGCTGTCATAACAAAGGATCACAAAGCAGGTGGCTCAAAAACAACAGAAATGTAATCTCTCACAATTCTGGCATCCAAAAATCTGAAATCACAGCGTCAGCAGGCCCACACTGCCTTTGAAACCTGGAGGGGAGGCTCCTTCCTTACCCCTTCCAGCTTCTGGTGGCCTGTGGCAGCATCACTCCAACCTCTGCCTCCATCTTCACAGGGTATCTCTGTGTCTTTGTGTCTTCACAAGGTCATCTTTTTATAAAGATACTGGTCATATTGGATAAGGGGCCCACTCTACTCCACTATGACTGAATCTTAACCAATTATATCTGCAATGACCCTGTTTCCCAGTAAGGTCACATTTGGAGGTATTGAGGGTTAAGATGTCAAAAGATCTTTTATTGGGAGACAAAAATTCAACCCATAACAGGCACATCACCTTGGACATGCACGTAGACCTTCAGGTCAAGATTGGCCGTTGACGTCCAGAAATGATGTCTTGGTGCAGATACAAAACAGTAATGGATGAGATCCCCTAGAATGAGAAAATGCAGGGGATGAAGGGAGAGGGCCACCAAATCAGTCCCGAAGACCTGGAGGGGCCAATATGCAAAGGAAACTGAAAAGGGAAGGGAATTATGAACATGGAAACTTATTTTCTTCCATAAACTAGAAAACTTCCTGAGACCAGGTCTTAAGGATTCTAGATTTCAGAGGCTGGAAATATACTACTACTTACTGTTACTCAAAACTAATGATAAATGCAATTCAGGCTCTATTTTAAAAACTTTCAGTAATCCTTTTGTAAAGCAAACACTCCTTTTCAAATGAGAACAGCCCACCACTTAACATACAATGTTTTCAGTTTATAATTTCATCTATGAGTTGCACCCACTGAGGCCTCTTTTGCTGGACTGGGTTCTGGAAGGGAATGAAGGGCACTGTTATTCCAAAGATGAGAATGGACAGCCGTACAGAGGCCAGAACAAAATGGGTGAGATTCCGTGGTGTCTGCCTACGGGGTGGAACCTCTTTGAAACAAAATAATGTGATTGTTGAGGATCTCAGTTGAGGTTGAGTGGGTGCCAGTGTGGAAAGAGTGTGGGAGTCAGCGCCAGGTGAGTCGATGTGCCCAGTGCCTCATGTGTGCTGTCCTTGGGTGGGCAACAGTGTGATCCCCATGCTACGAATGAGGATGTGGGTGCACTAAGAGGTGAAGGGATTTACCCAACATTGCATAGTAGAGCTGGGATACTTTTTCTTCCCCAAACTTTTCCCTCCATGTGGTTTATTTGACCGCAGAGAAAGCCTTGCCTGGACTTACCCTGGGCTCATTTATGAGGCCCAGAGGCTGACCAGGCTGTGGAGTAAGCCTCAGTCTTATTTAGCCCAGGGCAGCAGAACTGGGCGGGTATCAAGGCTTCATGAATCATGTGGGGGACTTGAGATCTTTATCTGAAAACACCACTAAGTGTGTCAGGCACACTACTAAGCCTGCTGAATCAAAGTCTCCTGGTTGAGGGTAGGAGAGATTTTTTTTTTTTTTTTTGAAAATATCTGCAGTGGTTTTGCTGTACATTCTTCTTCCAGTGGACAGTAGTCTCTGCAGGACCCTCGGGGGTGGCAGTGAGGTGCTAATTGAATTGGCCCTTAGTTAAGCCTTGCTCATAGGTCTGGTTAGTTCTCAGATCATCTGAAGCTTTTGTTTAAGTCCTAGGAAGTCTTGATTTCCTTTGGGCAGGGAAGCATATGACCTGGGTGCCTACAGCAGCAGCCACAGTAGCAAGGTGCTACAGGTTGGCTGGGTGTTTGGCTGCCTGAGAAGAACCGGAGGTGATGGGCAGAGAAGTTAGAGAGATCTGGGATTGCGTACCAGCCCTACTGGCTGCGATGTAGGAGAAAATTATTTAATTTCTTTGAGGCTCATTTTCTACCTCTAAACATAAGGATATCTCTTTCATAAGGTTGAAGGTATCATGAAATAATGGAAAGCTCATTGCTTTGCTAGGATGATCAGCTCATCCGGTCTGCCCAGGAATGTTCTGGTTTTAAACCTAAAAGTCTGTGCCCTGGGAAACCCTTTAGTCTCAGCCAAATTGGGACAGTTGGTGACTCTAGGCTTGGGACAAATTAGACGCTCAATAATAAAGATGAATCACTTTCCAGTGTCACCTTCCCTGAGTTGTTACACCTCACATTGGTACACCTGCCTGTAAAGGCAGCTACACCTACTGTAAGGCAAAGGGAGGGAAGTCTTCCGTGTCCTTTCGGTGGGATGACAACGCCCTTGACAACACTGCTGAAATGACAACTCTGTAAATTCCATCTCTGCTCTAGACGAGGTTTTGTCTGAATCCCCTTGTGACATGTGTTCTGCATTTTTGCAAAATCACTGACCAGAGCTAAAGTGAAAACAGGGAGCATGGAATATGGTGGAGCTCACAGCCTCTCTGGAAGCAGATGCACCAGCCAGGTGGTTCCTTCTCATTGTATGGGTGAACAGGGCAAGGCACAGAGCTTCTGGAATCGAAATCCTCCCTGTAACAGGAGCTAAGGCAGGTTAGCAATGCCCCTAGTAATGATTCCTAGTTCTATGCATGGAAACACAGAGCTGTCCATGAGCAACCTATGTGCAGCAATAAGCTCCTGAAATTGTGCTAAATTATTTGATTTAAATACTGGTCTATCTAGGGATGAAGACCTAGGCAATGCAGATTCCCATTAATAATGAATGATTTGCTGTATTCTAATCCTGTTAAGCAGAGAGTTACTCTGCAAATGTATTAGTGGCAATGTGTGTTTGTGAATTAAGCCCTTGGTGTATCAGGTTTATGAGCCTAATTGTCTATTCAAAAGGCTATCACTTTATCACGTCATGAAAATTAAAAAGGTCTCTTTTGTTGGAGTGTTTGGCTAGTCCTCCGAATGATATTTTCTCTTTCTTCCTCATTTTCTTTTTATTGAGCTTTATTATGATTTAAATGCAACTGAAGCAAATCCTGCCGTTACACTGAAATTAATGATTAAAATAACACCGATAATGAGACATAGGTACTAGAAAATAACACATGTGGTGCCTGTGGAGGGAGATTAAACATTCTCCCCCTCACCCACCCGGATTATGCTGAAAAAGAGGCAGGGTAGGGCACTAAAAATAGGAGAATGGTACAATATATCTCTGAAATGGGAAGAGATTTAGTGGCTGTTCTACCTCAAGGAAGTGTGAGTGATTTCCACTAACATTATCATCTGGATCCCAAAATGACATCTAACGAGAAGGTATGAACAATTCATTTGATGTTATCTTAATATTAGGCACTTATATGGTTGGCAAGCCTTTCCTATTTAGCTCCTTTGTTCATTGTCTTCCAATGATGTCTTTTTCTTTTTTTGAAAGAAAAAATAACCTCTTTCAGATTAAAAAATATTGGTGGCTGGCCTCTGTTGCAAAAATAGTACTCGGGAAAGTTTTTAGTTAAATTCTGCCTGGCTGTATTTGAACGCCAAAAGAATCGATCTGTCTTTTTTGAAAGTGAAAAAATAACCTTTATTTTAGTATGTGTTTAGAAAACTCAAAGATATCTTTGTTTTCAAACTTCAACGGACTAAGGACTTGTAACTGCTTTGTTTGAAGAAATTTTCTTTTGAAAAAGAAAGTTCGGAGAGTGGAGAAAATGCATGCTCAGCACTCTCCCAAGCATCCTCCCTCCCCTTCACAGATGCTCAGAGGCAGCGTCTGGGTGTTAGCGGTAGTGGACGGGGGACTAGGTGACCCTTCAAGGTGGAGCAAGCAAGGAGGGGACCCTCGGGGGCCACTAGGAAGCGATGGGACTGATTTTACAAGCAGGTGAATGTTTGTCCTTTCAAAAATAATTTCAAAGATACTTATGTTGGGAGACCAAACGTGTTTTCCAAGTAGGCCCCAGTGGGAGTTAGAATCACAGACTCTCAAGATGGAAGGGACGTTCCAAGCCGTAGTCTAGTCCAGACACAGTATATGACTGTCTTCCTGGTGTGATAGCTTTTTTTCTAGGAAAATTTCTTTGGTGGCTACAAATTGGATAAGATACTTTAGGAGGAAAACATTTGGAGCAAAGCGATGGGATGGTGTTCTTGCATGACTCAGAGGCAGACTCTGAATGCAAATGCCATGAACAGGAGTTCATTATTGCGTGGCGTCCACATTTGAGAAGTGTATCGCCGTTGTGAAGAGCAGGGCGTGGTCTCTAGACTTAGACAGACATGATTTAAAATGTGCTGGGAAAGAGAGACTCTATGTTTGCATGTAATTGGTGCTCAGTCATGTTAGGTCTTTATCCTAAATTCTTATATGTTACACACAAGTCCCAATCCTGAATTAGAAAAAGTGAGTTTAGGTGCTGGGATGATGTGGTCAGGAAGCAGCCTGGACCACAGTCCTGAAGGGGGTGCATTAGTTACAGATTGCCTTGGTGGCTTAAAACAACCTACATTCACCATCTCACAGTTGCTGAGCCACAGGGGTCTGGGCCTTACAAGGCTCCAGTGAAGGTGCTGGCTGGGCTGAATCCGTGTCTGGAGTTGGGGTCCTCTTTCCAGCTGCTGTGGTGGCTGGCAGAATTGAGGTGCTTGTGACTGGGGGGCTGAGGCTCTGTTTCCTTGGTGGCCGTCAGGTGGGGCTGCTGTCAGCTGCTTGCCAGCTGGCTTTTTTGCAGCATGGCAGCCTACTTCTTCGTGGCCGGTGTATTAGTTTTTTATCGCTGCTATAAGAAATCACCACCATTTAGTGGCCAAAAACACCACCAGTGTATTATTTCATAATTTCCACATGTCAGAAGTCTGGGCTCAGCTGGCTTTTCGACTCCAGGTCCCAGAAAGTGTAGACAGGACTTTGATTCTTTCTGGAGGCTTTGGGGAGCTAGTGGCTTCCAGGCTCATTCAGGTTGTTGGCAGGATTCAGGTCCTTGCAGTTGTAGGACTGGGTCCCCACTGCCTTGCTGGCTGTGAGCTGAGGGATACCCTCGCCTCCTAGAAGCCCTGCACGTGGGTCCCGCATTTCAGGACCAGCAAGGGTGCGTTGAATCCCTTTCATGCTGGAAACGTCTCTGCCTTCCTTTTGCCGGCGTCTCCATGATTCCAACCAGAGAACATTCCCTGCTTTTAATGGCTTTTGTGATTAGATTGGACCCTTCTGGATAATCCAGGATAATTTTCACATTTGGGGTTCTGTAACCTTAATTACATCTGCAGACTCTTTTTGTTTGTTTGTAGAGATGGGGTCTCCCTGTGTAACCCAGGCTGGTCTCTAACTCCTAGGCTCAAGGCCTTCTCCCCCCATGGCCTCTGAAAGTGCTGGGATTACAGGTGCGAGCTACAACACCCAGCCTGCAGGGGCTTTTGTTGCCATGTGATGTAACATTACAGGCTCCTGGAATTAGAGCATAGACATCTCTGGTGGGGTGGGGAGAGTTACTCTGCCTACCACAACCGGCAAGAGAATCTCTCATTCTAGTCTGCTAAAATGGAGTTGAATTTAATGTGACAGAGTCACAGAAAGGACTGTCCAATCACCTCTGCCATTTCTCTGGGCTGGAAGCAAGTCACAGGCTCTGTCTGTACTCGGGAGGGGAGGATGCAAGAGTGTGGCTCACTGGGGTCACCTTCCCGTGTGTCCCTACAGAGCTGGAAGCTGGGTGGGGTGGGGCGTTTTGGTTGCCTGGCAGCTGTTGGACCAGGTGGCCTTTAAGACTCCTACTACAGTGAAGAAGGGACAGAGCCTTTCTTCCAGCCTTTCCAGAATATTCTTTCCCCACTGCAGTCGGGTCCTGCCCCAGGCAGCTGTCTCTTGACCAACGTCCCCATCATTCGTTTGTTACTGTTTCTCCCCACCTGTGTATAGGTTCTGCTGGGAATTTTGAGGTTTCCTGTGAAGTGGTCTGGCTGGGCCTTGCTTTTACAGTGTAGACCTGCAAACATTTACTACTGTGAGCTGTGGAAAGTGAGCCTAAGGTTTAGATGGGGGAGTTAATTAGGGTCTGAGGGTTGTGCTGGAGGACATGGGGTACTTGCCCATAAGGTCCTTGTATAGATGCAGACACTTGGCTCCATTGCCTGCCCTGTACAGCCCAGGAAGGTGACGGGGATGCTGAGAGGATGCAGGGAAGGCTGTGTGCTTCTTCCTAGAAGTGGGGCACCCAAGGCAGGCATTTAACACCCAAGGCAGTGCTGATTCTTTGCTTTCCTTGGCCTCATTCTTGTGGGTCACATTTCTCAAATCTCTTCTCCAGAAATGCTTTGCAAATCAGGACATTTCTTACTGACACTCCTAAACAATCACCGGGTGCCACACACATATTCTGTCTTTGGGTGTGGAATGAGCCTGCACCTTCCTGAGCTGATAGCTTGGCTGCAGCCTCAGTTACTGAAAACTGCATTTCTTTGTCAAGTAGAGGTTTATCACCACAGCAAGAAGGAATAGAAAAGGCCATTAAATATCAAAATACAAAAGTGTTTCCTGGATTTATATTTCCCAACAAAACACAATTATGTTCCTCCCCAAAATAGTGATACTTATTTCGTATCTTTTCTGAAATAGACTGTTTTACATTTTGTCTTATCTAGAAAACAACTAGTTTAGCGCAATGATTCTCAGCAAAAGTATTCTGTCTCCTATGCCATTTGCTTAATCTAAATGATCTATTCTATTTATGGTCTCCAGGAGTTTTGAATTGTGTGTACATGTGTGTGTTTATAGTTGGTCATTTTCGTGATAGGTGGGAGTCCAGAAATTGACCCTCTTTAAATGAATTTTATGAGATATTAAAATGTTGCCCCATCCATTCTCAATTTTGTGTAGAAAGGGGAATAGTCTAAGCCCTGAAGTAGTAACTATCATTTTGTGTTTCAATTTAAAATTCAATTCAATTCACATAGTTGCCATTTAATAGTGCTGCAAACATTTCCCCATCTCTAATAAGACACAAATTCACACATCTCCAGTGTGTCGAAAAGAGATGAGAAAAATGCAGACATACTCTTTCAGGTCTGGGTGTGAGTTCTGCCAAGACCATGAACTTGCTGGGGATAATCTCAGATGTCTAATTTATGATGAAACTCAAAGACAGAAACTGTAAAATGTAATGTGACTCTCCCGGTTCAATGGTTTCACAGGCAGATTAATTCAGAGATGTATTTAACCAGCGTAAAGTACCCGATTTTGATAGAGAAGAATAAGCACTCTAAAAGGATCCTTTAATAAATGAAGACTTATTTCAGTATCTTCTTTTGGTTCTCTGACAGAGCTATTTCATCCAAATGTCTAGTCTTTCCCCTTCATTACTGCGTCGTTCTTTAGATAGTCTCCTATCATTTTAGAAATCCCACACACTAAGATTCAGTATGATTCCTTCTCCTTCTGATCTGAATTCTCACTGTAGCTGTTCCTCCATGCTGCTCTCTCTTGTAGTAGAGACTGCCCTGTGTAGAAAGAGAAACTCAGCTGGGCCATTGGTAACTTTTGCTCACGGTCCCAAATGTTCCCACATGAAAATATACAGAGAACACAAAGTGAGTGACGTATTTGTTGTTGAATTTCTATTAAGACACATTTGCTGACTTATTAGTCAATAGCAGGTACCCCCATAGCTGGGTAGAATAAATTTAGGGGGGAGGGGACTCCCCGGTGTGCCGAGCTGCCCTATGCATGTTGCCTAATGTCCTGGGCTCTGCAGAACTTTCAAAAAATTAACACACTCACCAAATATGTTTTTCTTGCTCATTAACTTGATGAAGCCCACTGGTTTTTTAGAATCACGGCAGCAAGTTGTAAATGATGTATGAAATGAAAAATCTTTTCTCTCCCAGTGAGCAGGGAGGGAGAGCTGACAATGCTCCGTCAATGCTGCTGCCGCCTGCAGTAGCATCTAGACACAGAGACACCCCAGGACCCAACCTGTCCCAGTACCAGCAGTGAGCTCAGAAGGAGTAAGCGATGGGCCCTCAGTGACCTCCCGGTACCAAGATTTCCTTGCTCCTTCACATACTGCACTGGGGAGCTGAAGACAATGTGGCTGAATGAAATCAAGCATCTGAGCCAGGTGCCTGCTTGCTGGGAACAGGATGGCCTGAGTCCAGAGCAAACCTCTTGGGCCCACTGGTGTTTGAGGCTTTAGGAGTCAGGAGCAAATCTCTTGGGCCCACTGGTGTTTGAGGCTTTGCCCTTTGGCTTCATGCATCAAGGCTTTTGGCTTAGTTCGCATCCCATAGTTGCGGTCGGTTGCAATGTATTGTTCAGCTGCTGTTGTTCATTTGCTTGATAAACTAACAAATGTTTGCATGTGCATATACCCAGAACTGGGCCAGGCATTGTAAAGGACAAAATAAACATAAAGTAGAGATATATCCAATATAAAAACCCAGCTTCTGCCCTCCAACTGCCGACAAGCCAGTCAGGTGAGAAAATAATTTACTTAATTAACATCTTTTCCTCAAATAGGATAATTTTATTCTTATTGTTGCCCTTGTGGTGCCATCATAGTGTTTCAGGCATCGTAATGGAAAGTGTATTAGTATATGTTTACCCACTTTTGTAAATAATGCGTGTTCATTGCTTTAAAAAGGGGGTTGAAGCCTAACGATGAAGGAAGGCAGTTTTCACAGTGAGACAGTAAATGCCTCACTGAAGGGAGGCATTTACGGGCCTCCCCCCGTAAATGGTATCATCTCAATTTACCACCGTACCCACACTTACTCAAGAACAGAGTCTGTTAAGACGGCAGAGCCCGGCAATTGCGTAAAATTTACAACTTTATGGGCAGAGGTTCAATTCCTCTTCTTAACAACGTGCCCATAGCCAACCTCCTACTTCTTATTGTACCTATTCTAATTGCCATAGCATTCCTAATGCTAACCGAACGGGATGTGTCTCCCCGGATGCACCAACATGAACCAATGTTAACTGGTTGACATTAACCAATGTTAAACTCCAAAAGGCTGATGTATACACCAGAATGCCAGTTTATTGTTTTGAAACGTGCACATGACCTGGGAAGGTGCCTTGTAGTCAGCGGGTCGTGTGGGTGAGCATGCACTTCTAACAGGGGGCCTGGTGAAAGAACATGAATGCTTACTGGCATTAAGCTCTGAGAAGCAGCCCAGTTGCCTTCCTCAGAGTTGACCTGCCCCCAAGACTAGCCGTTGTATCCACAGGCCAGGTGGCTCTCCTCTTTCAGGACTGGAGGTGCTCCTTTCTCTGTGTTTTCTTTTTCTTTCTTTCTTTTTTTTTTGACGGAGTCTTGCACCGTCAGCCAGGCTGGAGTGCAGTGGCCTGATCTTGGCTCACTGCAACCTCCGCCTCCAGTGTTCAAGCAATTCTCCTGCCTCAGCCTCCCTAGTAGCTGAGATTACAGGCACCTGCCACCACGCCTGGCTAATTTTTTTTTTGTATTTTTGTATTTTTAGTAAAGACGGGGTTTCACCATGTTGGTCAGGCTGGTCTCGAACTCCTGACCTCGTGATCCGCCCGCCTCAGCCTCCCAAAGTGCTGGGATTACAGGTGTGAGCCACCATGCCTGGCCTTCTGTGTTTTCATGATTGTCAAACTCCTCCTGACTGATCAAGCCTTTCTTTAGATATTTAACCTAATCACCAGGTGACAGTCATGTCATACAGGCCTATGGCTCTTTCTCAAATTTTAGGAGGCTTTGCCTGTCTCCTTAGTCTACAGATATCAATTTTATGGTTCAACTGCATAAGACAATGTTGTCTCCAAATTTGCGTATCTCATTTTTTGTCCCTCTTACCCCCTTCTGCATAATCATGGTTGCTGCGTGCCCACTGTGCTACACTAGAGTAGACAATATCAACTTTGGAGCTCTCCATGTTCACCAGCAGCAGGGTACCAGTGCTCCATCCACTCGCTGAATAATAACTGTGAATTTTAAGTCTGGCTTTGGTATGGGTTTGGGGTGAATTTCTGGGAGATTCTCTTCACCCATTTAATTCAGGCACTTTGACAATAGCCACTGAATGGCTTGGTGGTATAGAAGTAGACATGAATTGATGTCTTCCTGGGAGAAGGTGCAGGACGTGTCTCTAGAGCAGAAATGACTGAGTCATGGCTTGTGTATCCTGACCTTCCATCCATCTTAATGGTCAATGTGCATTGCTACACCATTAGGAGTTCTCTGTGGTCCCATCCTGTACTTCATGGAAAAGGTAGCTGAAATAACTGACTTGACTGTGTCAAGGTTGATTCTGGTGGCTGTGTGTATATATATTCTGACTCCTCTTAATACAAAAATGCCAATAGATCAAAAGCCGCCTACAGCTTTTGTCAATACATTGACTGCATGCTAAAAAAGGCTACATTCCAGGGTTAGAGGTCCACTGTAGACATCGGCTGCTCTGTAAATACTAGGAAGGTGTTAATCTTGGGAATTAGATTTAACCATATTTTTAGAAGACAGAATTTCCACATTTTCATACAGAAATTATTTTCCGTTTAGCCCCCATATATACCAATGCTTTGGAGCCAACTGCATTTGGTACAAAAGTTAGCAAATACAAGTCTGGATTCATCCAGATGTTTATATAATTGCCACATACAAAATAACTGTTTTAGACAATGAAAATCTGGATAATCCCTGAGATGAAGTGACCTCAGAAGCTAAAGAATGCATGCAGCTTCAAAACACCATTTACATTCTATTGAGGATTGCATGGTGATGGCTCATCAGTAGAAAGCGTGCAGGAGAAGGTGGACACAATGGTGGTGGCCAACAAACCCTCTTAACAAACTAAATGGATGTGGACTCACGTGGAGTCCCTTTAAAACCACACGAAGAGCAGAAATTGAACATGAACTACAAAGTGAGTAGGTTTGGCCGAATGAAGGTAAGACAAAGGTGACATGTCTGCTGTAGAAAAATCCTACATCTGACATAAATTTGCCCCTAGGAATGCCTGCAACATTTAGATGCTCCCTGTCACCTGGAATGGGCACACTTTTGGGTTCATTTTTCCTCCCAGAGAATTTCCGAAGGTAGGATGGCTTGGATGTCAGCTTTCACTACACTTAATCTGCCTCAGACGACGGGGTCGTCCTGAGAAAAAGCACACTGGGTTTTGCTGTTTACTTATCTTGACAAACTCAGCCTCTGAGGCAATGCATAGAGAACCAGCTATAAAGGAATGGAAATGAAAAGCCGGCATCTTCCCTGCTCGGTGAAATAGTCACTTCAAGGCAAACTAACCGCTTGGCTTGAAGTTAAAAGATGCTGCTTGAATGCAAGTTGGAGATGGTTTGGAAGTTAGTTCACTGCAGAATGCCCTGTAATCAAAGGGGACATTGCCCCTTAAATTTTGAGAGTGTCAGACATGCACCCCACCCAGTAGGACTATAATGATAACAGGATAAAACACACATGCATATTTATGACACTTGCCTAGTGTTTCTAGGGAGCCTTTCTTCCAGGAACTCAAAGGCTTCACAAGTGTTACCTCGGGGACTTCTCCTGCTGGGAGAGTTGCACAAGATCACCAGGTTAGCTCTTTGCCTCCAGGCAGGCTGCATCGAGACAGGTTCGAGCCCCTCCTGCTCCTGCCATCTCCTGGGAAGGGAACTCACAACCCTTAGATAATGCATCTGATAATGAAATTCCTTCTGGTACTGTTGAAGCTCATTTGTTCTCTCTTTAAAAGAGACTTTAATAGTCTGATTGCAATTTATACACTCAGACTGTTTTAAAGTCACCTTCTCAGTGTTCTTAACTTAAATGCTACAAACCACTTTCAGGTTCTACTTTTGGGACCATCTGGTTGACTTTCTTGCTTTTCTGTACACTCGGTGGGGGTATTGGGGCGATTGTGGTGGGTGTATAAGAACGTGGCATTTGGGGTCAATAGACATCAGTTTGAGTGTTTGAGTTTCAGCTCCAATATTTCCTGACTGTGATTTGGGGCAAATTGCTTGGTCTCATTCAGTTTTGCTTTCCCCATGCTTAAGATGGGAACAATACAGGTCCAAGCCATTAGTTGTTGTGAAGATTTAGTGAGATGATAAAGAATTTTGCACAATGCTGTTTCCTCGCTACATTACTTTAAGATGCAGTGTTCCTTATATTCCAGAACAGACATGTCTCTGAGAAGCCTTGGAAGGGTTCTCGTGTGGTGGAGGCAGGGCTGGGGTACGGGTCATTTGTGGTTAGCACCTGTTCTGATTGGTCCTGATTTCTTCCCCTGTAGTCAATGCTCACGCCATATCAACTATCAAATATTTAGAAATGAATGTATTTTAAGTTTAGCTGGGAACCTGCTAAAAGAATATGTAATCACCTTGAGGACATTCTGCGAAGTGAAATAAACCAGTCACAAAAGGACAAATAGGGTATGATTCAACGTATATGAGGCACCTAGAGTAGTCAAATTCATAGAGACAGAAAGTAGAATAGAGGTGACCGGGGGCTGGGAGGAGGGGATGGGGAGTTATTGCGTAATGAGTACAGAGTTTCAGTTTGGGATGATAAAAAAAATCCTAGAGATGGAAGGTGGTAGGGGTTGCGTGACATTGTGAACACATTTAATGCCACCGAACTGCACATTTGAAAATGGTTAAAATGCTACATTTTATGTTATGCCAATTATACCATAGTAAAAAACATGTAATGGGCCAGGCGCAGTGGCTCACACCTGTAACCCCAGCACTTTGGGAGTCCGAGGAGGGCAGATCACCTGAGGCCAGGAGTTCAAGATGAGCCTGGCCAACATAGTGAAACTCTGTCTCTACTAAAAATACAAAAATTAGCCGGGCGTGGTGGCAGGTGCCTGTAGTCCCAGCTACTTGGGAAGCTGAGGCAGGGAATCGCTTGAACCCAGGAGGCAGAGGTTGCAATGAGCAGAGATCGTGCCATTGCCCTCCAGCCTGGGCGACAGAGCAAGACTCCATCTCAAAAAACAAAAAACATGTAATGACTAATTTTGTAAAGAGAAACTCCTTCAATACTGCAAATAATCAGCGTTTTAGTTTTACTGAGGCATTTCCCCATGTCAGGCGATCCATCTGTCTTTTCCATTTGTGTTGCCATAAAGGAGTCCCTGGGGCTGGATGATTCATAAAGAACAGAGGTTGACTTGGCTCATGGCTCTGCAGGCTGTACAGGAAGCATGGTGCCAGCCTCAAGCTGCCTCCACTCCTGGTGGGAGGGAAGGGGAGCTGGCTGTGCTGTGCTCACATGGCGAGAGAGGAGGAGGAGGAGGGACGGAGGGCCAGGGAGAGAGAGAGAGGAGGTACCAGGCTCCTTTTAGAACTCACTCACTACTGCAAAGCCACACCATGAGAGATCTGGCCCCGTGACTCAAACACCTTCCACCTCCCCACCAACAACATTGGAGACCAAATCTGGGGGACAAACATATCCAAACTCTAGGACCATCCATCCATCAAAAATATAGTGTATAGTTGCTTTATGTTGGATGTTTCAGGAGATCATAAAAAAAGTAACGCAAGACACAACCTTCTTGCCAATTTGATTGGGAAAAGGGTGCACTCAGACGAAGGAGGGGAAATGCAAGGTGACGTTTCAGTAATGAATTAGGTGATCCTCTTGACACCTAATATGGAGGCAGCGCAGTGAACGCAAGTTGCAGAGGGAGGAGGAGTGTGATGGGAAGACAGCCTGGCTGGAGGCAGGAGAAAAGTGGAGCCCGTGAAGATGGGAGAAATGGTCTGGCTCAAGGCAGGTGTGAGCCCCCAGAAGGCATGAGCTGTTTCAGAGTAGTGAGTAATCCAGTGGGAAAATTAGAGACTTATACAGAGCCTTGAATGCCAGGCAAAGGGGCTTTAGAATTGAATCAAGAGAGTTGATTTTGAACTGGAGAAAATAAACAGTGTTTACAAAATACTTGTCAGTGGCGAGGACTGGGCTGAACAGAGGGAAGCTGAATTCAAGGCAGCCTACATCTTTTCTTGGTATGGCCACACTCTCTTCCATGACTTGAACAACTTTTAAAAAATACGAATGGCCCCCTACCCTGATTTGGACTCCAGGTCTCCAAGAGCCTGCTGAACACATCCAAGACTCCCCCCAGACCACGCTCCCCTCCCAGCTTCCCAGTTTCTGTTTTGGCAACACATGTCAGACACACATGCCCACTAATGTGGTCTTGGCCCCTTGCCTCTTCCTCCGTCTCCATGCTGTAGATATCAAATCGTTTGGGGTTTTTCTTTTGACAAAGGCCTGGTTGCACAGAGAGGCAGTCGTGTGTTATGGAAACTAAGAGGAATGAGAACTTAAAAGGATCAGTGGGTTTGGCAGTATGGCCATCATGGGCAACCCTTTTGAAAGGGTTTTCAGCATAATGATAGGAGTGTGTGTGTGAGACCTCAAAGGACTAAGTAGGGTTTTGGAAAGCAAAATGTGACTGAGAAGACTCTCACACATTGCACAGATTAATTTCTGATAGGACGTTTGTTCACTGGAAGGGCAAAAAAAACTGAGAAGATTCTTCTCATCCAAGCTTCCAGGCCAGCATCATAGCTTTGGTCCTCTTATTCCTCTGTGTTCTTATTTCCTGGATGGTGTCGGTGGTCAAGGGGGCTGGGGATGGCGGGTACTCCATCCTCCCCATCTATCTGCAGTGAACCAACACACGCCTGAACTTCACAACCGCACGGAGGCATCTAGGCTGTGTGGGGCTATTTGCCTGGAAAGGCTTGGCACTGCACAAGCTCCAGACAAAGAACAACGCAACTGCCCTCTGCACATTGGTTTGGTCTAGATTATTTGCCGCCTTGAATTAAATAATTGATTAAGGCATTCCATGGAATGTATTTTTTTTTTCAGTCCATTATTATCAAAATTTCAATTAATGACTTAAGACAGCAAGAGAGCAAAACTGAAAACCTGATTTTTCTGTGCCAGGTAATTCTGATCACTGTCTGTATAGTCTCTTTCTTTTTTCTTTTTTTCTTTCTTTTATTTTTTTGACACAGAGTCTCGCTCTGTCACCCAGGCTGAGGTGCAGTGGCATTATCTCAGCTCACTTCACCCTCCGCCTCCTGGATTCAAGTGATTCTTGTGCCTCAGCCTCCTATGTAGCTGGAACTACAGATGTGCGACACCACACCCAGCTAATTTTTGTATTTTTAGTAGACACAGGGTTTCACCGTGTTGGCCATGTGGTCTTGAACTCCTGACCTCAAGTGATCCACCTGCTTTTGCCTCACAAAGTGCTGGGATTACAGGCGTGAGCCATCTCACTCAGCCCTGTATCGTCTCTTTACACTCAGTTCTCCGGCCAGGCCTCCTGGGCAGCACCTTGCAGAAGACTGTTGACAGCAGTACCTCTGAGCCCTTTGGTTGGACCCTCCAGGCTGACTCTCCATGTCACCCAGCCTCGCTCATGGAGCCCTGGCTGTTGGATTCATGGCTGCACCTTTGCCAGGGCCTCCCTGCCCTGCAACTGCTCAGAGTCCCCCTTTGGCCTCTTGGGCAGAAGCTTCCAGTCATTCTGTTCTCCTGCCCTCCCCTGTTGCCCACCCTCGGAGGTCTCTGGGCCTGATCTTGGCCCAGGGAATAGCACTCTCTGGGGTGAGGGTGAAGGTGAGGATGTGGTGGGATTCAGTCTGTGACAGAGATTGGTGATATCATTTGAGTCAGACTGTGTAATTTATCAGCTTAGAACTGTTCTCAGAGGCCTCTTCCCTCTTCCCTCTGAATTCCCTCACTCCTGGTGGCTCCAATCTGCTTGCTGGAGTGTCTGTGCCTGTTGGAAGGTTGGAGTGCCTGCTCTCTCACCACTGAGGCTTTGTAAGGAATACCTCCCAACCCCAGCCACTCCGAGAGGTTCCCGAAGCGTGGAAGGCCCCCACGGTGGAGGGACATCCCTGGGTGCCAACTCTGGGATCAGGCTGGGGGGATCTGATGAAGCCAACTTGAGTTCCAGGAAGATGGTGAGTGATGGTTCATGGGGAAGGAGCCAAGTCGGGGGTCAAGTATGTGGTAGAGAATCGGCCCCTCAGCAGGAAGAATCTTTAAGATGAGCCACAAGAATTGCTGCCCAAGTTTCCAGCCTTTGGCCGGAGGACTCTGAGGTCACTGCTGAATTATTATCAGGGGCTTGTGATTCTGTGCCAAGCAATGCCTGTGGAATGGGTAAATGTTTCATATGTCACTTTTTCAAACATATATTGATAATGTCATTAATAAAATATAAACTTATTGTAAAGTATAACCGAGTTCACAGTTGCTTTCCTTTTAAAATTATGGCGTATTCACCGGGGCCTGTCGTGGGGTGAGGGGAGGGGGGAGGGATAGCATTAGGAGAAATACCTAATGTAAATGATGAATTAATGGGTGCAGCAAACCGACATAGCCCATGTGTACCTATGTAAAAAACCTGCGCATTGTGCATGTGTAACCTAGAACTTAAAGTAAAATAAAAAATAAAATTATGGAGTACTTTCTCAAATGGTTATGAAAAGTATATTTTTCAAGTGACTGTACTCAGCTTTTCAATAACTTAGGTTTGAACCTAGAGTCAATATTGTGTGATGTTTCTTATCTGCTCTATTACTTCATCTATTAAGTGGGGTTGATAACACCAGAATCATCAGATGGTTGTAAAGTGTAACTGGCACCTTATGAGTATATTCCACCACGCTTGCAAGAAATGTATAAGGTTCTTTTTTCGAAAACCGAACACACTCAGCAGAAAGGCATTGCCATTCACCAAAATGATGTGCAATTCAATAGGATTATTCAGTTGGCTTCGGTGATAGGTTTGTTGCTAAACGTGTAACCACTGGCTCCCTGAGTACAGTTTTGATACTGATGTTGGTTGATATTTTCATTTATGTTAATGAGTTGTGTGAAAATGAAAGAATGAAGATGTGTTTCAAAGCTTCACTAGTTTACAACATCACTAGATGGGAACATCTTTGTTACTGAATTGCATAATAGTTTTGATTATTGGAAGAATATTTCTTCAATTTTTTTATGCTATTCAGACACAACTACAGGCCCCTGGAGAGGACGACTCCTCACGTTAACCTCTGCTCTGCCTACACGTCTTCACTTCTGACACCAGACTTGGGGTTTTTTGCCCCCACATCAAGAAATTCTATGCTTCTCAGTGGACACAGACTGGGCATCCTGCACTGATCCTGACACTCTGCCTGGAGGCAGCATCAGAGCCCCCAGCTTCAGGGCTCAGTCCTGCGAGGGTACCTCTACCACAGACAGCAGCTGCAGGTCCGGCTGTCATTGTGCCTCTGACCCACCCGGGCTGTAAATCGGAGCTTCCCATGAACCCCTCCTCGGGTCTGTTCGTTTGCTAGAATGGCTCACAGAACTCAGGAAAACAGTTTGGTTACTGGATTTCTGTTTTATCATAAAACGATACTACTCGGGAACAGCCAGATGGAGGACTGCTCAGGGCAAGGCGTGGAGAGGGGCACAGAGCTTCCATGCCCCTTAGAGGAGCCCCACCCTCCCAGCACTTCCACCTGTTTGCCAACCTAGAAGCCCTCTGAACCCTGTCCCTGGGATTTTTACGAAGCCTACATTGTGTAGGTGTGATTGGTTAAATCACTGGCCTTTGGTGACTAAGTCACTCTCCCATCCCTCTCCTCTGCTGGAGGTCTGGGAGTGGGGCCGGAAGCTCCAACCTCGAATCACAAGGACGGTTCCTCTGGCAACCAGCCCCAATCGTGTTGTTATCTAGAGGCTTTCCAAACGCCACCTCATTAGCATAAACTCGTGTGGGTGAGAGAGGCTTGCTGTGAATAAGAAAAGATGCTCCTATCACATAGGAAATTTCAAGGGTTTAGGAGCTCTGTGACAGGATCTGGGATGCAGATCAAATATGTATTTCTTATGATAAATCACGATCTCACCCTGTAACAGCATTTCCATCATGTAGATAATAGTGAAAGGTAAATGACACCAAGAACATGGACAATAGTAAAGTGTAGTCAAACGCTTAGGAAGCAATGAGTGTTGAGTATTTATTGCCTTTGTATTTAATATAATTTAATGGTAAGTTTATATGATTTAAGTTTTAATGACGGCTGGGTTTAACAACTGGCTCACAAAATTCCTGCAAGTTTAATAATTGGCTCTCCTGAGCTGGTGAGGCCAGCTCCAGCATGGCACGGGTTGCCTTCTCCCATCGGAGGATCAGCTAACATTTCAGGCATGCAAAGTGCCAGAAAGCAGGAGAAGGAGCTCTAATAGTCTTCCACCAACAGTGTCAATGAGACGTCTTGGCCCAGGTTGGCAGTTCTGTTCTTTTATGGCAGGAGGGAAGTAGAGATCTTACCCTGGCTCCTCAGGCATCAGTTCTTAGTGTCCTGTCTCTCCAGGACCCATGTCCAGCCTCATCAGAGTCGTGCATGGACCTGGTCCCTGGCAGAACCCACTCTTCTCCATCATCCTCATTTCCCCCTTACCTGGATCTGCCCAGGTACAGCCACCTCTTCCTCCGGCAGCATCTTCTGGGAAACCTCTCTTCTAAGACTACACTTTGCAAACAAAAGCCAGGGAGGGTCATCTTCCAGGTGCCTGGCCAACTTCTGTTCCTTTGTCCCCCAAATAGGAGGGATACTAAAGCCCATCCCAACCCCCATCCTCATGCCCAGGCAGAGAGGAAAGAGAAAGGGAAAAATGCTTCCTCTCATCCACTTAAAACTCCTCCTGCAGTGAGAATAAGACAGAAATTGCTCATTTAGAGAACTATTTGGCTGTTTCTTGTGTTTTAGGGCAGTGCTTAGTTTTTGAACCAAGCTCTCAGTGTTAGCTATTATAGTTAATAAACAGAAAAAACTGGCTAACTAGATTTTATAATAAATTTTGAACTGAAATTAAGAGAAAAATTAGGTCAAAATAATGGAAATGTTGAATCATGCCATATATTTAATTTAGATTTCTAAAAATGCTTAATGAAATTGGCTAATTTAGGCCCAAGTATGTATCAGTGCTCATGGCACCAGCCTATATGGAATTTAAGAAAGTCAGAAAACCAGCAGGGAAGGTAGGGAAGTGTCAGCTATTTAAATTGCTGGTCTTTAAATTCAGGGCATGTGACGAAACTGACTCTTCAACGCAAACAACAAACAGGCATTTTCCTTATTTTGTTTCTGTTTCTTAATGTAAGTATCAGCATTCGGGCCAAAGGAAAATAGATTTTAAGTTTGTGTCTCTTCCAAATACCTTTGGGAGACAAGTTTTTTGTTGACTTATTCTGAAGTGTACTCATTGATAATTACTATTGCTCTGTTAATAGTATACAGCAAAAACAGCACTGCCTCCCGATCCTGAACATGTGTATACTGAGGCAGTGCTAAGCCTGGAGAAGGTGAAATAGAATGGATAAGGCACCTAATGGCTGGGCTGATCTCTATGCCTTGCCTGGGCATTTTATACCCTAACCAACAGTGATTTATAGCTTATTTTTCTTTCCTACCTGGATTCTATATTGGTCGTGTAACCTAACTTCAGTGTTCCTTTTCTCCCATTCTGTGCTCCACCCCCTATTTTTTTAAACAGACGATGTGACTCGGATCTGTGTCCCCACCCAAATCTCATGTCGAATTATAATCCCCAATATTGGCAGTGGGGCCTGGTGGGAAGTGATTGGATCACGCGGGCAGATATCCCCCTTTGGTGCTATTCTCCTGATAGAGTTCTCGTGAGATTTGGTTGTCTAAAAGTGTATGGCAACTCCCTACCTCCTTCTGCTCTGGCCATGTGAAGTGTTGGCTCCTTCTTTGCTTTCCACCATGATTGTAAGTTCCCTGAGGCCTCCCCAGAAGCTGATGCCACTATGCTTCCTGTACAGCCTGCAGAACCGTGAGCCAATTAAACCTCTTTTCCTTGTAAATTACCTAGTCTCAGGGGTTTTTTTATAGCAATGTGAGAATGGAATATTACAAAAAAAATTGAGCTGAGAGTAGACTTCCCATATATACCACTCCTCAAAACTTTCCTTATTATAAACATCTTGCATTAGTGTGCTTCATTTGTTACAATTGATGAACCCATATTGATACGTTTTATTAACTAAAGTCCATTTTTTAATTGTGGATCCCTCTGTGTTTTACTGTTCTACGGATTTTGAAAAATGCATACTGTCATGAATCCACCAATACAGTATCATACAAGGTGGTTTTAATTGTGCTCCACTATTCTTCCCTCCCCACGAGTCCCTGATCTTTTACTGTCTCTATAGGTTCATCTTTTTCTTCCCTTTGTTAATTCTACTTTTTAGTTTTTTTGCTAGATTTTTCTTGCAATTGGATAGGCCCATTTAACCTATTTTGCCTCCACTCTAAATTCAGTACTCCAAGAATTGGTTTCACTCTTCCAAATTTTGTATATAAGCCAGAGTTCTGCATAAAGGAAAATACTTAAATTCTTTCTAATCTAATGTGGTTTCCTGCATCTTTCAGGAAACTTTTCCTCGAGTATCTACCCACAATTTTAATTAGGTCTAATACAGCATGTCAAAGTCGGGAAGTAGATCTAAAGTAAACAGGTTTTCCAAGTCCATTTTCTCCTTTAATTATTTTGAGCCAAGTGTTTCCAGTGCCTAAATATGCCTCCACTTCCAATAAGATGGGGCCCTTTGGAAGATGCATTCTCTTTGAGGTTCCTGAAGTATTATTTACTGTGCTGCAGCTTTAGTTAATTGAAAGCATGTTGAATAGGTCCTGGAGCTGATGGCTTTTTCTATGCACATCTGCCAAAACGGAGTTTTGCTTAAAGGACAACCAGTCTGTAAGTGTGATTAAGTCATATGTAAATAGCGGTAATCCTGTTTTCTTGGGCTGTTAGATCTAGTTCAATTTGGAAGTCCGGTGGGAGTTTCTTAGGTAAATATACAGTCTTGAGGATGGCCACATAGAGAGAAATGTTATATGAAGCAGTTTGTCATATTTAGTTTTAATATTAGCCTCTGAGATTAGCAGAGATGAAATTTACCTTGGGAAAGAGAGCGGATAAAGGTCACTCAAAAGCAGGAAAATCTTTTTGATCTTCAGGTTTTTCTCTTCCTTCTCTCTTCTGTCTTCCCTCCCTGCTGTAAGTGGCTCTATGTTTTTGCTTAAGCTTTTAAGAGGCCGAGATTTGGGGACTGTGGTCATGCCGAAAGATATAATGGAAGTAGTGGGATCTTCTAGTTTGCAGCAATTCTCATTAGTTGCAGCCTGGACATCACCCTTCTTTTTAAAATAAACACAGCTCAAATACGAGGTTCAGGATGTTTTGTCCATGACTGTATCACCTGGGGGCATATTTTGATCTCCATAGCCTTACTCTCACTCAGTGGGGCCTCTATCTCTTAAAATTTATTTTAGTTTAAGAGGGGGTCTTGCTCTGTTGCCCAGGCTGGGGTGCAGTGGCATGATCATAGCTCACTGCAGCCTCAAACTCATGGGCTCAAGCAATCCTCCTGCCTCAGCCTTCCAAGTAGCTGGGACTATAGGCGTGTGTCATTATGGCTAATTATTTTTAAAATTTATTTTTGTAGAGATGGGGTCTTGCTGTTTTGCCCAGGCAAACTCCTGGGCTCAAGAGATCTTTCTATCTTGGCCTCCCAATGTGCTGGGATTACAAGTGTGAGCCACCATGCCCAGCCAAAAAAAATTTGTTTGGATAGCATATATTCTTTCTTTGGTGGGCAGGCTGACCGAGTTTAATAAAGCCTTCAAATCTGAGAAGCCAGATGGGCTGGGGCAGTTGATTTTCCCTTGTCCCATTGATGATCAGCTTCTTTTTATGTATTTATTTGTCATGGTTTTGATTGGTCTTCCATCTCACAAAGCAGTGAGAATACAACTCTCGTTACTGTCATAGTGAATCCCTGATACAGCTAGGCATCCTGTGTGCCTCTCCTGGTGGGGCAGACCCTGAGAGGGGTCTGGAATGTAGCAGCAAGCCAGCACTGTCGACTCATACATGTGGGAGTAGCTGTTTATGGAGTCTTTTTCCTCTCTAGCCTCAGTGGGCTGGGGAGTTCTGCTTTTGGTTGTGGCCTGAGATATGTTTGTTTAACGTGCCACATTCTCAAACACCTGTGGTGCTCTGGTTTCTGGGTGAGGTACCTGGGGAGATTGGTGTGAAAAGTGCTATACAGGTGAGCATTTGAGCTCATTAGGTTGTATTTACAGTTTGCAAATCCTTTCTATACCTAGAAATGCAAAAGAACTGACTTGGCTTTCTATAAAACAAAACAATAAAACAAAACAACACTGCTGTGACAAATCCAACTATTTTTAGGCTGAGAATATTGTGTTGCTTCTTCCCACATAGCACTGAAAATTGTCTCACCCTATTTATACCCCAACTCGAAGAACATTGACAGCCTTTGTTGCTTTGGGAATCGAAGTACAGTAGGGTGCTGTTAGTGGACGTCTGCAGTGTCTGGGATTTGCTGTCATAGGAATGAATGATTGGATTTAGATGTGGTAGAGCCAGCTACATGCCGGGCTCTGGGCTGTGCATGCAATGGTTGTTTCATTTATTTTAATGTGACTTAATATTAGCAATGGTTAGGCTAACAGTGGTTAACAATTTAGAGCTGCCTAGTGGGAGGTAGGTGGAGGAGGCTGGGGCAGGAAAGGAAAACCCCAGTCTGGTCCTTGCTCTTCAGCCTTTTCCCCTGTCTGCCCTGGCCATTTAGCCTTCCCCTGCAGGCTGGGCTATGGAGTCTTTGGGAGGGGATTAGGTCATGGAGGTGGAGCATTCATGATGGGATTAATGCCCTTATAAGAAGAGAAACCAGGGTGGGTGCAGTGGCTCACACCTGGAATCCCAGCACTTTAGGAGGCTGAGACAGATGAGATGGATGGCTTGAACCCAGAAGTTTGAGACTAGCCTAGGCAACATGATGAAACTCCATCTCTTAAAAAAAAAATTAAAAGGGTGCAGTGGTGCATGCCTGTAGTCCCAGCTACTAGGGAGGTGAGGTAGGAGGATTGATTGAGCCCAGACAGTCGAGGCTGCAGTGACAGTGCAGTGAGCTGAGATTGCACCACTGCACTCCAGCCTGTCTCCAAAAGAGAGAGAGAGAGAGAGAGAGGGGAAACAAGAGAGCTTCTCTGCTCTCTGCCATATGATGATACAACAAGTAGTTGGCCACCTGCGAACCAGGATTCATGCTCTCACCAGGCACCAAGATCTGCTGGCGCCTTGATCTTGAACTTCCAGCCTCAGAATGGTGAAAAATAAATATTTATTGTTTAGGGCCCTTGGTCTATGGTGTTTTTGCTACAGCAGCTGGAGCAGACTAAGACACATGCCAAGGGATGTTAGGAGCCCTGGTTCAGGGGTTCAGATAACCTACCATCAGATCAGGTTGAATGGATTACTTGTTATTCTCCCATCTTCTGCCATAGTTCTGGTACCTAGGTCTCTGCCCTAGCCTTGTAACCAAGCCACAAGGCCAGACTTCATTCTAGGGACCGGGCTCCTACCATGATCCATGTGCCCGCACATCCAGCCAGGACATAGGCCTCCAGGCATGGGCCTGCTCCCGCCAGCATTCCTTCTCCCTCTGGAAGGGCCTGCCATCTTTACTTCCTCCACCTGCCTTCTTCCAGAGACTTCAAGGTGATGGTGTACATGGGCAATTGCTGAAAATCACATTTTGTTATTTGGACACCTCAGCTCAAGCACTGGCTGCCCGCATGCTGATTTCTTGTTTACATGTCTGTCTCCTCCAATAGACAGTAAACTCCTTGAGGGCAGTGACTGGATCGTTTCTCCATTTGTGCCTATGTCCATCCATCTAACTCTCATTCAGCATTTTCCTTTTCTCTTTGTAGCATCAGCCTTAAGCACAATTCCTTTAATTGGTGGGTGATCAAGAAATGTTTGTTGAATGAATGAATGAACGAATGACTTGTTACAACCTACTTCGTGGTACAGTGCTCAGCTTCTTACATGGATTTCCTCTGATTGTCTACAGCAGCGCCTGCACCTTGAGGCTGGTTCTCTCTGCTCAGCCTGTCTAATCTCCTGTCTCTGTCTCCTCTGATCTGATGTGTCCAAGGTTAACAGAGTTCCAGAACTCTATTTTGACCCAAATTTTCGTTGCGGCTCAGCTAGTAGTTTGGAGGTGACTGGCATTTTAGAAGCTGCTCTGGGCTAAGGAGTCGGGTCAGAGCACAATGCCTCTCCCTCCTCTATGGACTGTTGCCTTGGTGCCCTTCAAACATCAGAAGGGGTGATGAGTGCATAGTGTGCTGTAAATACTAGAGAGTCAGTTTATCCTTCTTCAAAAACTCAGTGTAGATCAGTGATTCTCAAAGTGTGGTTCCAGGATCTTTGGAGGTCCCCAAGACTTGTTGAAGAGGTTCACAAGATCCAGAACATTATGATAATAGTTCTAACACTTTTCACTCTCTTTCTCTCAAGAATTTACAGCGGAGTTTTTCAGATGCTATGTGACATGTAATATTGCAATAAATTAAGTGCAGAAGCAGATATGAAGAGTATTCAGCTCTCTTCTGTTAAGCCAGACATTAAGAGATTTGAAAAACATAAGACAATGTCACTATAATTTTTTGTTTTGGAATTAGAGTGATTTTTAAAATTAAATGTATATAATTTATGTTAACATGTAAAGGGTTTCTCATTGTTATTTTTAAATAAAACATTTCTCAGTTTTAAATATTTTAAACAGTAAATATTGGTAGACATATTGATAGAGATAGCCCACATAAACAAAAGCTGTCTGTGGGCCTCAGTGATTTTTAAGAGAGTTTTTACTATCTTTATTTTTCTGGGTCCCATCCTGGAATGTTTGAGAATTGCCGGTGTAGGCTGATGGTTAGTGTGGAGGTCACAGGATCTGAGCTTGAATCTTGGCTTTGCCACTTTAGGTGAATGTGATTTTAGGTAAGCTATCTACTCTCCCTGGGTCTCAGTTTCTTAATTAGTAAAATGGGAATAATGAAAACACTCATTAGATAATGAGTGCATTAGATAATGCATAGATTTGTGGAGATAATTGAGATCATACATACTAGATACTTTGAATAGGGCTTGGCATGGAATAAGCACTGAATGGTTATTAGCTCATGACAATGTTTTAAATATATATTTATTTTAGAAAATTTAGAAAATATGGAAAATTATTAGGAGAAATTAAAGTTACCCATGATCCAACTGCTCAGAAATAGATATTGTTTACCGTTTAGTGTATTTCTTTCCAATTTATGTCTTTGTGTGTCTGTGTACATATTTGGTCTTTACACACATTCTGAGTAATCCATTTTATAGTCTTATAAAGTAAGATTTTTCATAGCTCTATTATATTGCTTATATTCCATTGTATAGTCAATAGAAGCCATAAGAAATTTAACCCTTCTTCCCCTTGTAGATCGGGTCCTATTTTTCACCACTATATATTTATAGTGGTGCATAATTAACGTTCCTGTACATAAATCTTTGTCCATATCTCTGATTGTTTTCTTAGGATAAATTGGTGAAAGTGTAATTACTAGAGCCAAAAGCTATTTATGTGTATATTCAAGTTGCAATTTGAAACGTTTGTGTCTATTACATTTTTCTCAGGGGTGTATGAGAATGTCCATTTTATGGCATGCACATTTACTACATTAAAATTACTGTTTTATTTTAGAATTCATGAATTTTGCCAATTTGATAGAGTGAAGTGGTACACAATTTAAAAAATTTTGCATATTCATTGATTACCAATTAGTATAGTTTTTAGAAATTTGAATTTTCATTCTCTGAGGTGCTGTTTATTTCCTCTGAATTTTTAAAAGTGGGCTATTGGTATTTTTTCCTATTGATTTATAAGAGATCTATAACTTTTATCAGACTAGTGGCAGTTTTTTTGTCTGGTTTATTGGTTGGCAATGATTTTCATCTAAAAATATGATGAAAATATTTTGTGAAAATTTTTATGTAGTCGGATCTATTTGTCTGTTTTAAAAAATATTTCTTCCCTTGCTTTTATGCTTAGACAGTCCTTGAGTTTGAGTTTGTGACTTTTCTTTTCTCTTCTCTCCCTTTCCCTTAGTTTTCTTTTCCTCCATTCCTCCTTGCTTTCTCTGTTTTTCTGTGTCTTTAACATTTAACTCTTTTTTATACATCTGGATTTTATGTTGGTGCGATGGGTGAACTCCAGCTCATACTTGATCTCTTTGAAAATAGCTAATCCTCTCAGTACAGATTTTTGAATAGTCTTTCTCCCCACCTCATTATTTGTGATGGTTTCTTTATCATTAATTTCACATATGTACGAGGGCTGTTTCATGGCTCTCCATTTTTTCTCTGTTGGTAATCAACAAATCGTCACTGCAGAGTGATTATTGTGCCAGGATCATATTGTTTTAATTGGCTTTATGTTTTCATGTTTGGCAGAGTAAGATTTCTCTTATTACTCTTCTTCCTAATTTACCCGGCCATTGGCATGTTTCATTGCTTCAGATGTATTTTTCACTTCTTCCACTTTCCCATTTCCTGCTTCCCATTGATGTTTTGGTTTTGATTCTGATAGAGGGAAAGATTAATTTCAGAAGCATTGGTATTTTTACAGCCCTCAGTCTTCTCATGCAGCAACATGCTGGGTCACTCTACTCATTTAATTCTTTTATGTCTATCAGGGAGGTTTTAAATTTTCTTCTCATAAATACCACATATTTATTGTTAAGATTATTTTTAGGATTTTTCTGTGGAAAAAAAAAATATATATACACATTTTTGAGTCAGGGTCTTGCTTTTTCACCCAGGCTAGAGTGCAGTGGCATGAATGCTTTGTGAATATATATTTTTTTCTATTTTCTTTATAAGCTCTGTTTCTTACTGATGTTCACAAAGCTATTGATTATTGAATCTTTATCTTATATTAACAACTCTTTTTTTTTTCTGAGATGGAGTCTCATTCTGTTGCCCAGGCTCTGGAGTGCAGATCTTGGCTCATTGCAACCTCTGCCTCCTGGGTTCAAGCGATTCTCCTGCCTCAGCCTCCTGAGTAGCAGGGACTACAGGCACATGCCACCATGCCTAGCTAATTTTTGTATTTTTAGTAGAGACGGGGCTTCACCATGTTGGCTAGGCTGGTCTCGAACTCCTGACCTCAGGCGATCTGCTTGCTTGAGCCTCCCAAAGTGCTGGGATTACAGGTGTGAGCCACTGTGCCCGACCTATATTAACAACTCTTGAATGCAGTTAGTGAGTTTCAAAGTTTACGAGAACATCTTGGTATTTTGGGGTGTGTAATATTTATAAATCACTGTATTGTATCTATTCATGTATATAATATAAAACATATAATTGATAACATGTCATATAAAATATTATCTCTTATATTATGTATATTTTTGTTTCCTATCTTATCGTTTAATTGGAATTTATAGCAGAGTGTTAAATAGTTATTGTGATAGCAAGCATTCTTCTCTGAGTTCTAATGTTTGCAATTAATAGTAACTGGTAGTATAAGGTAGATCATCTTGACTACATTGAAGATGTGTCTGTGTGTCCACTAGTCCATCCTTCCTTCTTTTCTTCATCTTTCTAATAGAATCTAGGCAGCATATTGCCAGATGATTTTTTGTCATTGAAAGCATTTGGTGAAGTTTTTCTTAAGTGACCTCTCGATGTGATGGATTACAATGATAGATTCACTAATATTAAACTACCCTTACATTCTCAGGATAAAGCTCATCTGGTCAGATTTTATTTCTTCTAAGGTTTATAGGATTCCTTTACCTTCCAAAGATAAAGGATAAGGGAATCTGACATAAGCACTGGGCCTTAGTCCTCAGTCTGGGGTTTTATTATGGCCCCATGAACAGGACCAATACCTAAGTCCATTGGCTTCATCCTGCTTCCACAGGAAACTGGAAATGTAAGTCGCGGCTAGGGTGGGCAGGAATAGTCTCTAACCTGGGACTATTTGTTGGTGTAGGTGCTGCCAGTGTCTACACCAACACGCACAATTAAGTATTGAATACCTCCTGTGGACCAGGTACTGTGCTAGGCCCTGAGACTAAGAAAATCAGGGTGCCAGTGTTCTTAAAGCACCTGAAACACTGTCGTGCTCCACTTGTGTGCCCAATGAGCACTTGTTGAGTGTCTTCTGCACAGCCTTAAGGAGGGGAAGACTATTTCTTGTCTGGATGATAAAGCACAGCTAGACTCTGTGGCCTCCTGTGGACATGACCATTGAAAGTCAGGCCAGTAGAGTCAAGATGGCTGTGGGAACATTGATCTAAGATGGTAAACATCATGATTCACTTCCATGGATGAAATGAGAATGAAAAATAAATCTCAGTTAGCTGTATACTGTGGCTCAGCAAAATAGAGGCTCAGTTCTGAAATTAATATTGCAGAAAATATCAAGTGTGTGATTATTTATACTAATTGTTCAGAGCTATTAACCTTAAAAGATTATTTTCTTGTTTTTATTATAGCAAAACCAACAGAATCAACATTGGACGAAGAGCCTACAGGCTTTAAAATCACATAGGGAATCATCTATTTTTAGATTGTTAACGAATGTATTTGGTTTTGAATTTTCATTTGGACACACCTCGTTAATTTATAGTATAGCAATGTCAAGGAGCAGAGAGATGGGGTGGACTGCCCTGTAATTCAGCATCTTGCTGGCTTGTTTTTAAGGATCTATACAAACAGCCTCTGTGGTGTTAATCACAGGCCCTGACTAAATGACGAAGGCTGGGGCCACTGGGAATGTCTTATGGTCTCACACAGGATGGGCCTGGTCCTCAGGACGGTTTGCTCAGATTTTGGGCAGAAGCTGACCGTTCCAATGGAAGCCAGCCTCAAAATCTCCTTTCCTATGACATAACTGGAAAGTGCTGCTAACGGCAGCAGGGGAAACAGGGCAGCAGAGCTTGTTCAGGCAGGAGAGCAAGATTCAGGCATGACCAATGACCAGAGGGTCCCTGAGAGTGAAGGAGACCAACAGGCCAGGCTGTGAGAAGGCAGGAGGGCACAGGAGCCATTCCAGAAGGCTGACTGTGAGCAGGGACTAGAGAGGCTTCATTGCACTTACTTATGCGAACACTCTTAGGTCTTGGGAGGGCAACAATGGGTCTCCTGAGAGGCCTATGACAGGTTCCTGCTCTCCAGTGACAAGGCGGGGGGCAGAGAGCACACACCCCTTCAGGGCCAGCTGGAGCTGAGTCTGCATGGCCTCTCCACAGCGGTGCCCTCCTGGATTTGTCTCTCTGCCAGGATTCTTTGTGGGGTACAACATGCCCACACCACACCCCTTCCAATACTGGAATTCTTCCGGACAGGCCTACGAGAGCCTGAGGAATAGGCCCCTGTGCTTTCTGCCAGGCCAGGGGTGCACTGGGACGTGTAACATCTAGTGACAGCCTTGGGCAGAGGCCTGAGTCCCAAGCTTGGGTCATGGGAGATCACAGAACTAGAGCAGTGCAGCTAAGGCCATTTTGAGGTGACATCTATGAGAAACAGCTAAGTCCAAGAGCCATGAGGGGAGATTTGAGAATGTGATGAAAATGGTGGTTTTTAGAGAAGGGTTGGGAGGTGTGGGACGCTGGCATGAGAATCCTCTGGTGACTACGGCTTAGACCTGAAATCCCGAGGGGCAAAGAGTGAAAACTCCATTTAAGGTAAAAGAGTCTCCAAACCAATGCATTGATAGTAAATATACAATTTAAAAATAACATCATTTACATTTACACACATCAATTAAATTTATACATGCAAATGGAGGGATGGAAACATGCCCTTTGCTCAGTTAAATCTGTGTAGGAATCATTGTATATTATCATCTAAATGTTGAAAAATACACTTTATTGGTAACAAGTCGTAAGAACTGGAGAAGTTTTGTCTGGGTTCAGGATTTTCTCATTAAGGGTAAAGTTTGGCGGTTTGGAGACCCTTAAGAAGCTAACACATTTGCAGTGTAGTTTCTTATATTCTACTTCTTTTATTCCAATTCTTTACCTATAAGTCTATAGTAATTGTATTTTTACCCAGAGAAGCCATGTACTTCTGAGGGAGGAAAAAACCCCTTTCTTTTTCTAGAGTGGGTGTAAGAGTCAGTTAGCACCTAGGCATGGGAACCAAGGCCTGGCCACCTTCCCAGGGGCCCCTGATGATGCAGACAGGCCCAGCGTGGGCCTTCTCTGGGCTTGGGAGGGAAAGAAGTAAGGATAAGTTTAGTTTTCTTTTGAAGTTAATAATCTCCTATAAAGGCTTTTAGTAAGGTAAAGCAGACACCTTAGACAGCATTTAACATTTCCTCTTTCTTTTCTTGAGGTTGGTGAAATCTGAGGGCACCAGGTCTTGGAAAGACAGGTGTTGGCCCATCACCAGGAAATGTGTGCCAGCCGGAGACCCTGGGCAGGGTGGGACATGCCCCTTCTCAGTGCCCCCTGCTCCTCCTCTTCAGCTGGGTGCTGGGTGCAGAACAAAGAAATACTTTGCTCTTGTTCTCTCTTATAAGTGGGAGCTGAACAATGTGAACACATGGACCCAGGGAGGAGAACAACACACACTGGGGCCTGTCGGGGGGCCGGGCAGGGAGAGGGAGAGCATCAGGAAAAATATGGACTTGCTGGGCTTAATGCCTAGGCGATGGGTTGATAGGTGCAGCAAATCACCATGGCACACGTTTACGTATGTAACAAACCTGCACGTCCTGCACATGTACCCCGGAACGTAAAAGAAAACAAAAAGAAGAAATGCTTTGCTCTCCAGAATCCCTCTTTCCCCCAGACTGGACAGAAAGGAAGCCGAAGGAAACATCTGAGTGGCTGGTGTCTCTCTTTTACATTCCACCGTGGGAGGCAGGGGACTTTTTTGAATTAGCAGTTTTCTTGTTCAAAGGGACAGTCTCCAGACGGCATTGGGAGAAGTCTGTCTGTAACATTCTGTGTCTTCTCATGACCACAACTTATCTGAGGAATGACACTATTTCCAGAACAGATTCTGATGGAGATTTTGGACCAATTTTGAAAATGCTGTAGGGATAAACATTCTCAGATGTGCTGAACTTGGGATGATGTGTGGATACTTTAAGAGGAGCAAAACCAAACAAAACAAAATAGCGGCCTTTTACTCAGACAGTGTTCCAGTCAGAGATGGGCGTGCTGTGTATGAGGGTGAAGTTCGTGGCGGTGCAGGATAAAGGAGGAGGAAGACAAACTTTGAGCATTTGCAGGTTGATATGTACTCACGATCTTATTTCATCTTTCCAACAACCAGTGTGGAGTGGAATATTTTATTTTTCATGAATTTTTTCCTCCACTTTATTGAAGTATAATTAGTATATCAAAAAACTGCACATAATAATGTATCTAATTTGGTGAGTTTGGACAAATGTATACAACTCATGTTACTCTCTCCCCAATGCAGATAATAAATACGTCTATCACCTCTTCAAATTTTTTGTGTCCCTTCTTTTTTTTTTATGGTATTAACACTGCATGAAATCCACCTTCTTAACACATTTTTAAGTATACAATACCTCATTTCAAACTCTACATACTACATTGTCCAGCATCTCTCTGGAACATCCTCATCTTGTGTAATCGTAACTTTATACCCATTGAAATACAATTTACCTCGAAGCAGAATATTTTAGAATTTTATTTTATGCATGAGAAAGCAGAATCAGGGAGGTTCAGTCACTTATCCAAGTCATGGCTGGTCAGTGCTGGTACCGGACTCTGAACCAGGCCTCAAGCTCCCCATTCTGTGCCCTCTTCCTTCCAGGAAGTGAGTGGTGCAGCTGGTGGCCTGGAAGATGCCGTCTGCTGCCACCCCACTTTAGTATCTCAGTTGGATTTGGGGTGGTTGGTTGGGTCCACTCAGGTTCAGATGCCTCCACTGAATAACATCTAAATGGCATTTTTTATCTCGAGACTCTCAAAAAAAAAAAAAAAAAAACCAATGAGAAGAAGCAGAGTAACAACCTGAATTAGTATCACACAGGTTTCCTTAGCGGAGACATCAGAGAGAGAACTGAGTATACGACTTTGGTGTCAGAGGACACGAGTTTCATCCTGTCTCGCCATTTACTAGTGGTGTGACCTTGGGCAAGCTACTCAAGCTCTCTGAATTCAGTTTCCTTTCAGTGAAACAGAGCCTGTAAGAGTTTGTAGCTCAAAGGGTTGTTGGTGAAGGTCAAAGGAGTTAATGCAAATAAGCACTTAGCACAGCGCCTAGTGCACAAAAAGAGCTAAATGGAGTTACGTGTTATTCCAAATAATTAATTAAATTAATTCAACAGATCTGGCTTTCCCTAGTTGCCTCTTCACTTGGGTTGGTTGGGTTGGTTTTTCTCTTGCCATTGATGTCTAAAGGGCAACTTTCAGCCCTGATTTCTTCATTCATGCCCTGTATATCAAGCTTATTCATTGATTGCTTATAGGATATAGGAATTGCCAGGAAGGGTGTAACATTCTATTAGGTTGGTGCAAAAGTAATCGTGGTTTTTGCCATTAATAAAAGAAACCCAGTGAGGATGAGCATTCATTTAAATAAGCAGCAATGTAAACATGAGTAAATATTATTGCGCGGGCCTGTATTTCTTTTCCAGTGGGCCTATTCTGTAGCTTTTGTAGCTTGGATTAGGGTCGCAGTCTCTGGTGTGGTCGGCTGTGTGTGTGAGGTGAAGACCTTCGTAATGTGTCAGTGTTCTATGAAAGAAGCCTCCCCTGTCAGGAGCGATCCCAGAGTGAACAATCTATTTCTAATGCAGGAATAAATTGCTCTTTTCCCTGTTGAGGATTTGAAGGGCTAGTGGGAAACTTACAGGATGTACGTTCTGGTAGTTAACAGGCTTTTGGAAACCATGCCCAAACATGGGTTTAGAAGCATCATAAGCCACACCCACTCCCTCTTGTGTCACTGAGGCCAAGGGGCGGTCACCATTTCTCACTGCACTCATGACGATGGACTCTACGTGCATGGAAACTGCTTCCCTCCTTTGTGTTGCTTCCCATACTCTGGGCATTTGGGTTGGCAAAATGCCCCTCAGTCACCTCCTCCAGGCAAACTCACTCACAGAGCTCAATATGTGTAGCTCAGCAGCTCTTTCCACGTGCCCTCCTCCCTCCCCACTGGGTTACCACCACATCCTTTGGTGAATAGCCCATCTCTGTCATTTAGTAATCCTGCTCAGGACTCCTCCATGAATCCTCTTACATTCTTTGCTAACTAACCCTACGTGGTTTCAGCCATGCTAAACATTCCAGGAAACACTTAAGAAGACAAGAAAGGGGAAAATAGTAAAGCTAATATGTATGGAGTATCTATTAGATGGCTGGCACTATTAAGTTCTATTATCACCATTTTTCATACTAGAAGCTGAGACTCAGGGAAGTCAAGGGTCCCACCCTGTGTGTGTGTGTGTGTGCACGCGTGTGTGTGAAATCAGGCCTTAAATCTACGCCTGTCTGACTCAAAGGTTAGTATTCTTTACACAGTAATAGTATTTGTATCTTTTTGTTGAGATTATTGTTTTCTTTTAAGCTTGCTCATTGTAAAATAAAACATAGATATGGAAAACCACATCAAACAAATACGTAGCTTAGTGGAGTTTTATAAAGTGAAGCAAATATCCTTGTAAATGCCATGCAAGTCAGGAAATAGAGCTTTGCCAGACACCCTAGGACGGCCTCCATATGCCTTGTCCCCACCATTGCCCCCTCCCATGAAAAGTAATCACTACCTGGCCTTCCTAGCATTATCACTCCCTTGCATTTTAAAAATGGTCTCGTCACTCAGTTATGCATCCTAGACATCATTTATTTGATATGCATTTTATAGTGTATAGATCATCCATTTCTTTTCCTTAAAATTGATATATTGAAGAACTGTGCTGTTGAGTTTCCCAGGGTCAAGGTTTTTCTGCTTGTATAGACAAGGCCATCAACCTTAGCAAATTAATGCAGAAACAGAAAACCAAATACCACATGTTCTCACTTGTAAGTGGGAGCCAAATGATGAGAACACATAGATACACAGAGGGGAACAACACACACTGGGGCCTATTGGAGGGTGGAGTATAGAAGGAGGGAGAGTATATTGGTCCATTTTCACGCTGCTGTAAAGACCTACCTGAGACTGGGAAATTTATAAAGAAAAGAGGTTTAATTGACTCACAGTTCTGCAGGGCTGGGGAAGCCTCAGGAAACTTACAATCATGGCAGATGGTGAAGGGGAAGCAAGGCATGTCTTATGTGGTGGCAGGAGAGAAAGAGAGAGAGAGAGAGACAGAGACAGAGACAGAGACAGAGGAGGGAAGTGCCACTCACTTTTAAACCACCAGATCTTGTGAGAGCTCACTCACTAGCATGAGAACAGCATGGGGGAAACTGCCTCCATGATCCAATCACCTCACATAAGGTCCCTCCCCTGACATGTGGGGATTACAATTCAAGATGAGATTTGGGTGGGGACACAGAGCCAAAGCATATCAGAGAAGATCAAGAAAAATAACTCATGGATACTAGGCTTAATACCTGGGTGATAAAATAATCTGTACAACAAATCTCCATGATGCAAGTTTACCTATATAACAAAACTGCACATGTACCTCTGAACTTAAAAGTGAAAAGAAAAAAAATCCGGTGAGGATGAGCATTCATTGAAACAAGTAGCAATGTAAACATGAATAAATATCATTGCATGGGACATTTTGATACATCTTTTGTTCTCTGTATTCCCTATAAATTGCCAGCTCAATTCGGAGGCTGGATTAGACTCAGGTTTGATCACATTGGCAAGATTATAGATGGCCTTGTGTTTTTCATCGGGAGGAACATAATGTCTGATTCTGCTCTGTTTTGATGTTAGCAAATGTTGATCCTCAATGCCTAAGTCCATTAATTTATATGGTTGCAAAATGGTGATGTTCTAATTCTATTTTTTTATTTTTATTTACTAGCTGGAATAATTTTGTAAGGTAATATTTATCCTCATCTATTATTGGTTACCCAGTGATGAAGTTCATACAGGAAAGGCAGGATAAGTTCTTGATTCTCTACTTTTATTTAACTATTTTTTGAAGAATTTCACTGGTTCTCTGTCATCTTCAGAAGGTGACCACTTAAAAAAAAGCCACTTAAATAAATGATTGCAAGTATATAAAATAAATCATTAAAATTAGGAGATATACCTAATGCTAAATGACGAGTTAATGGGTGCAGCACACCAGCATGACACATGTATACATATGTAACTAACCTGCACATTGTGCACATGTACCTTAAAACTTAAAGTATAATAAAATAAAAAAAAAAAATAAAATTACCATGGATATACATACATACGTTGAGTTTCAGTCCATGGCAATTGTCATCTTGATGGAAGTTCAATATGCCTGATGGCTTTCTTGCTATCTGGTGTGTCCGGGTGTGGGCTCATCTTCTTATGTTTACATCTCTTACCCCACCTATTCTCCAAGAAATGAATGACGGCCAGGCACAGTGGCTCAGGCCTGCAGTCCCAGCACTTTGGGAGGCTGAGGCAGGTGGATCACCTGAGGTTAAGGGTTCGAGACCAGCCTGGCCAACATGGTGAAACCCCGTCTCTACTAAAAATACAAAAATTACCTGGGCATGGTGGTGGGCACCTGTAATTCCAGCTACTCAGGAGGCTGAGGCAGGAGAATTGCTTGAACCTGGGAGGTGGAGGTTGCAGTGAGCTGAGATTGCGCTATTGCACTCCAGCCTGGGCGACAAGAGTGAAATTCTTGAAAAAATACAAATTAAAAAAAAATTGGAAAATAACATTTCAAGACCACAACCTAGGAACCAAAAATACTCATTGTTCCTGGATTGCTCATTCTTTTTAGGCTTTTCAAGTGAACAGAGCTAGGCAGTAAACCTGTGTGTGGGTGCTTGTATTTTGATTTAAAATACCTTTTATGTTCGGACTAATACCTCTAATTCAAATTCAGCACTACAGGATTTGTTATGTTTTACATAAACTCTTCTACCTTATCTCTGTATCTTTTTTCTTCCACATCAAGAAGGACACAGGAGATGATAGTATTAGATTATCATTTGTTTAACTTCAAATTACACATTAAAAAAGACCTAGGAATAGCAATACTGATAATACCACCAGAAATTTTGATTACTGAAAACAGTTTAATAGAATTACTAAAAATAGTTACATATGGTTTTCATTAAAAAAGAATGAAACCTGACATCATGTTGGTTATTGATGAAAGAACATAAAGGCCCTTATAATCTTTTTAAAGGAATAAAATCTGAGTCTGATTAAGTCTCTGAATCCAGAGACTTGTAAGTTTTTGCTAATTTACAGGAAATATGTTATACTCATTGTTCTCCCACTAAAAAAAATGGCTGTTCTATATCTACAGTTCTATATCTACAGTGTCAGATCATTTAGCTACTACATATTACAATCACTCTCTGTTGGTTCCCATTTACTCTTGGTTCTACAAGTAATTACATATTTAATGTTCATCACAAGTCTTTTTTTGAAAGCCCCTCTAGTCATTTTATTTTTCTAAATCTTGTTTTCTAATGGATTCCTTAGGAAGGGCTCATGGACAGAATATTTCCTGAGTTTTGCATGTCGGTAAGAGTTTGAACCTTCTTTACTTGAAGGTCAGGTTTGCTGGGTATAAAATCTTTCACTCATATTTTCTTTCCTTGCGTATCTTAAATATGTTTTTCTGTTTTCTCTTGGCACAAGAGTTGATATTTAATTATCTGATGAAAACCTAATTTCATCATTTTATAAATCATAATCTCATTTTGTTCAATGTCCAGATGATTTTTTTCTTTAAAGTCCAGCAGTTTTATTAGAATATGTCTTAATATTAATAATTCTGAGTTGATTTTTCTCAAGTATACACAGAGGTATTTCAATATGTGATCTCATACCATTTTTTCTTTTAATTTGAGGAAAGCTTTTGTGAATTATTATTATTTGTTCTGCTCTCTTGCTTTGATTTTCTTTTTTTCAGGGACTTTTATTATTCACATTCAGATTTCTTTGGTTATCTCCAGTATTTGTCATGTCTTGAAACTTAAAAAAAATTTTTTGAAAATTTCTTTTTCTTTTTTTTTATTATTTATTTATTTATTTATTTATTTATTTATTTTTGAGACAGAGTCTCACTCTGTTGCCCAGGCAGGGGTGCAGTGGCATGATCTCGGCTTACTGCAAGCTCTGCCTCCTGGGTTCATACCATTCTCCTGCCTTAGCTTCCTGAGTGGCTGGGAGTACAGGTGCCTGCCACCTCACCCAGCTAATTTTTTGTATTTTTAGTAGACAGGGGTTTCACCGTGTTAGCTAGGATGGTCTCGATCCCTTGACCTTGTGATCTGCCTGCCTCGGCCTCCCAAAGTTCTGGGATTTACAGGTGTGAGCCACCGCACACGGCCTTTTTTTTTTTTTTTTTTTTTTTAAATCCCCTCCTTTATACCTTGAGAAGGCCTTATTTATTGTGTTTATTTGCCTGTGTTCCTAATACTTTTGTCTTATTTCTAAAATTATTTTTTCTTTTATGTATAATTTTTTCTTGAGTTTTATCCCCTTGTTTGAGTTTTTCTAATTCTGATAGATGTTGGTCTTTCACATCATATCATTTTCTTAACGTCTTTCAGCTTATTTTGAAAAAGTATATTGTAGTTTTGATCTTCTTTTGTTTTTTAGTATGTCTTTCTGGCATGCTTTCACTGTCTTTAGGGATGTCATTCTGATACTAATTTGATTTTTTCTTACAGTCAATTTGTATTGGAATTGACCTGTACGTTTTTCTGTTGCTCGCTTTTATGTGGATTTTGTTTTCCCAATTTTTTAGAAGAATAAGCTCTTAGAGTTGCTAACTTTGTGCCTCTCCCTCTTAGGTTGTTTTTGTATAGTGATAGGAAACAAGGGGCAACTGGCTTGCTATTTCCTGACCGTTTTCCTTCCACCGTGCCCCGCTTTTATCTGCACCTTCTCTTTCCTTTGCCTCTATTGTCCCTCTGCTGCAAGATTGTGGTTGCATTCCTGACATCTCCTTGGCGTGGGCCCCTTCCTGGGAGGGATACTAGGCTGGTCAGTTTGGAGGGTTTAGAGGAGCTAGATGACTTGAGCCCCTCTGACCTGGTAGCCACAGGCCCCTGTGCTGGCCCATGATGCAGAAGAAAACCCCTTCTGGACTCAGTGGCTCCTCTCAGATCAGCCCAGCACACTTCCCTGGGAATCCCTGCTGTTCATTTGGGGTTCTGCTCACAAGCCTGTCCTGTTCCTTGTCTCTGTTTTCTTCCTCACAGATGCCAATGACATGTTGGCATTGGGCAGTCAGGACTTTAGGACACTCACTTGTATTTTGGGATTTGCAGAGAAAGCTTGTCATCTAGTTTCTTTTCTTTCTTTTTTTTTTTGAGATAGAGTTTCGCTCTTGTTGTCTAGGCTGGAGTGCTGCACTGGCACCAACTTGCCTCACTGCAACCTCCGCCTCCTGGGTTGAAGCGATTCTCCTGCCTCAGCTTCCCAAGTAGCTGGGATTACAGGTGCCTGCCACCACGCCTGGCTAATTTTTGTATTTTTAGTAGAGATGGGGTTTCACCATGTTGGCCACACTGGTCTCAAACCCCTGACCTCAGGTGGTCCACCCACCTTGGCCTCCTGAAGTGCTGGGATTACAGGTGTGAGCCACCGTGCCCAGCCAAAACCTTGTCGTCTAGTTTTGTTACAGATGTTGTTCATGTGTTTTGTTGGTTTTGCTATCTACCTGCTCTGTTTTACATGACAATTCTGGAAGTCAAAAATTGTGCTGTTAATACCACAGCCATCTTCCCAGAATTCCTCTGCTAACTTGTTTTGTAGAGGTTTGCACTTGTGATGTTGTGCAAGACAGCCTGGGTCCATCCAGCTGCTCCCATGAGGCTGATGGGCGCTGGAGGACAGGGACCATGCGTCCCTCTGCTTCTGCTAAAGCTCATTACTGGGCAGTGCTCTGCATGGTGACAGTGGACCTGCTTCACCGTGGCTACTTCTATGGCAAATCACCACTGGCTCACATTTCTTTATTCAAATTCACAACGCTACCGGTGTCTGCCATTTCATTTTTCTTAAATTCTTCAGAATTAGCAGCATCTTCTGTAACCAGATCCCCAGACGACATCTTCACGCCTTCACGTGTCCACTCTTCCTGACCATCACCCCGAAAGACTGCATGTGAGCCGAGATTAATAGTTAACCTGACACCCCCTGCCCACTTTTTGGCCTATAAAACATTTGTTTGGTCTCTGTGTGAAATGTGTTGTTATAAAAGCACAGGGGCGTACGTGTCTGAAATAACCTTAAGTGAAAATAAGGAAATTGATTAGCATACAGTAGATTTTTATTGTTAAGTGGGAATGCAGCCCTTCCTGCAGGGAATGGCATTAAACAAGATGATTGATAAATTGTTATATTCGCACAGTGTCACTCAGTGATATAATCATGCCTTTTGTAAATATTTAGTCAAGAGAGCAATCCAGCTGTTTCCAGTCAGGTTTCATCCAGTCAGCCAGTGTTCTGATTTATCTCTCGTGCTGTCTAAGCATTGAGGAAGCTCACTTTTTATGAGCCTCTAAATACCCATAATAGTAAACAGCGAAAATGATGGCCGTAATAGCAATAGCCCAAGTAATTATAAAGAAGGATCTCTGTGATGGCCAGAAGTAGGAATAAGGAAGAGGCTATATTTTTTGCTTTGTGTCGAAATATATGTCACTATCTCTACCTTTAAAACACTGTGAATACCAAGAAGCCAATCGCCCCTTGTTATCAGGGTCATAAAAGACCCATGGATGAGACCAGAAAAGTTTGTGAGCTCCGTTTTTAAACTTCAACCATATGTTGACCAAGGAATTAAAAAAACAATTTAGAATCTACTTTCTCATTCTCTTCTTCAGAGTTGTTCAGTATGAGAAAGTGCTCATTTGGGGTGTAGACTTGCAGTGTTTTGGGGAGGCAGGATCATTTTCCTGACCTCTCAGGCCACCTGGTGTGGGCAGGGGCAGGGTGGGGAAGGAGGCCGTTCCCCACGCAGGAGGAGGGTGAGCAGCTCTGCAGCCTCTGCCTCTAGAGAAGAGGGTGCGTGGGGTGGTGGAGGGCACCAAGGTGGGAGAGGGCTCTCGTGAGTTGGCGCAACATGTCTGTGTGGAGTACACAGACTGAAGGACCCATCCCAGGAGACAAGAAGAGAAAGAGAAGATAGGAAGGTCAGTCTGTGGCTGCCAGTGGACCACTGGACAGGTGGCAGGTCTCCTATTTAAGAAACAGCAGTGGAACAGAAACAGATGTGAAGCATAGTTTTTGTTTTCTGCTCCGTTAGTCATTTTGTCAGTTTGCTGTCATTAGTGATCTGGGCCTAGAGAACTCAAGCAGCACTGGCATTGAGGGTGTTTGCATTCACTGCCATAGTTTTTCTGGGTTACCCTACTCAATTCCTTTGAGATACACTAGGGCAGAGTTAAGGTCTCAGGGTAAGTAACCATCAGGTTTTTATAGTAAAAAAAAATATATTAACAAATACAAGTTGTTTTTCTTTAATTAAAAAGGATCTGTGCCTGAGTCTGAGCTCCAGTTAAAGCTGATGCGATTCATCATTGCTTAGAGGTTGGTGTTACGTTTCCATTTATGTAGTGAGCCCCTGGGCTTATTAAATATATATGTTGTTTTTTTTTTTTTGTGTGGAGAGCCTAACTGCTTTGTAAGACAGAAAAGGTGAGGCTGAAGAGGAGGTTGGTGAAATTAATACACGGAGAGGCATACAAGAACACCAATAATGGTTTTTATTTGTATGTATGATATTAAACAAGTAGATGTTGCCAATATCTGACCACTTCAGAGGGAAACAGTGAGAAATGTGAGTGAGGCAAAGGTGGGTGGGAATTAAGTGTCAAATGAAATCATAGTAGAGAGCTTTCCCCTGAGAATCCTGGCTAAGAGCTAGGCTGTGTTTCTTAGGCTTGGTTAGCACAATGTGAGGAGTGGGGAGACTCACCTGGGCCCATTATAGATCTTACCAAAATCATACCATTAATTAAGGATCTTTCCTGAAGGTGGGGTGGCATTATAAAGCAGAATCTTTAGAGAATCTTCCTAGATTTTGATAAGCACTTCCTTGCCTAATTACTACCTTAGTTCCATAAGTAACTAAAAACTACAGTGAAAACCCCATTATTTACATTATTCCAATTGATATTTCCTCATAAATTACACTTTTGTTTTCCAGACCGGTTACATTTCCTGTGTGGCTAATTATATTAGGCAGTTCCTTTAATTTATACACTGTTTCCTGCAATTTACACTCATTTCTCAGAAAATGCTTGGTCAGCATCCCCATCCTTTGCTTTTAAAGAGCAGACCAAGGTTACTGCAACATGCAACTTCTCGAAGGACTGAACACTTTGTTGCAACAGTCCTACAGACAGGTACTTCGATATGAGGTGCTAATAATAGGGACTGAGGCCTTGGGTAGAAATGAGAATTTAAAGGAACGAATTGGGGAAGTGGCATGAAACTACATTGGGAAGATGTTGTTTAGCAGAGGGGAGGGGGCAGAGCAACCCATGAACTCACGGATCATTTATAAGTGAGCAGTGTGCTCTAAAGGAGATTTAAATTCTGCATGTCGGATTGTGTATTTTCTGTGATGCTCTGTCTTGATGGCTTCGTCTATTCAATCCATACCTGATTTGATTTAGTAAGAACCTAGTTGTGAGTGACACCGTGCTCTAAATTCTACAAAAATAATGCTTTCACTTAACGACATTTTTCAAACTTGATGTAATACTGGAAACCTTCCTTACAAGGATTCCAAGCAGAAGCCCCAAAGAGATACAAATGGGTTGCTTGCTTTAAGGAGGAGCATCCTCTTTCCCTTTAGTTCCCTTCTGCCTCTGGTCCTGGTCGTTCGATTCATTGATTCATTAATAAGCATTTGTTCTACACAAAGCGTGGCCAAGGTATTATGGACAAGGTTCGTGGATATGCAACCTATGCAGTCAAACAGGCACCCACGCCTTGTTTAAATGCTCTGCTGTCCTTGTCTTGAAATGCTTCATTTTTGAGCAAGGCGTGCTGCATTTGTATTCTGCGGTGGGTTCTGCAAATTATGTAGCTGCTTCCAATTTTAGGAGCTAGGAGAGGTGAAAAATAGTAAACCAAACGGGGATCATGACCCTAAGGAACTTATAATATATATTGGTTCTAGTTACTTAGAACCTAAGCCCTGTTGTTGTCTCTTCTGGCATATTCTCAAGAACACTGTAGGGACATTGTCATGGCTCCTGAGTCTGATGGTCTTCATGTTCATATTGCCTAGCGATGCACAAAGCGGGCTGGAGGGAGAGTTTCTTCCTTCTGAACTGGAAGGCTGGTGACTCCCACGTGACATGGAGATTCCACGGGCAGAACTCGGACACAGTTGGTTGACCTCAAATGGTTGAAGCTTTTCTTTTGAGATGGAGTTTTGCTCTTGTTGCCCAGGGTGGAGTGCAATGGCACGATCTCGGCTCACTGCAACCTCTGCCTCCTGGGTTCAAGCAATTCTCCTGCCTCAGCCTCCTTAGTAGCTGGGATTACAGGCATGCACCACCATGCCTGGGAAATTTTGTATTTTTAGTAGAGATGGGGTTTCTCCATGTTGGTCAATCTGATCTCGAACTCCCAGCCTCAGATGATCTACCCGCCTTGGCCTCCCAAAGTGCTGGGATTACAGGCGTGAGCCGCTGCGCCTGGCCGAAGCCTTTCTATATCTAGCTGTTGTGTCTGTGTTTGTGAAGTTGACTGAATTTAGGACTGTGCAGAGTTCATTCATTTTTTTTCCTTTCTCCCTCATAGAAGCTGTTTGGTTTTAACCAAGAGGTATAATTAAAAAAGAGACTGTTTCAGGTATTTACCAGCGGACCTGCCTGGGCTGTGAACAGGAGACTCATGAAACATTTGTGCTGTGCTCAGAAGGGCTATTCAACTGGAAATTCCCTTCACTGTTCAACTTGAAGTCACTAAAATAAGCAGATACTCTCAGCTGCCTCTGTCTCGCCAGGCTTTCTCTCCCTGTGGCCTATAATAGTCCATGATTTGGACTGTGGCCTGGTAGAGGGACTTTCCTGTGCTGTAAATAGGAGGCCATCAAGAAAGAAAAAGGAAAAGAAAGCAAACTGTGGAATAAACAGCATGATAAAAAGGAATTGTGCTGTTCAAGAATGTGAAAGAACATAAGGCTTTGTTTATCTGTTGTTACCAATGGCCCAGAAAGGATGCAGTGAGATACATTTATTCAATGATATTTCTTTTCCTGCAGCCCCAGACATCTTTGGGATTGACTGTGTTTGGAGGACTCCACTGGTACAGTCCAGAAAGGTTGGAGCAGTGGGGTGGCCCTGGGGGTGGGGGTCGTGCTTGTCTCTATATCCCTTAGGACTCTTTGGTGGCAAATTACAGAAACTCAACTCAAGCTACTAAAATAAAAAGGGGTTTTGTTTTAAAAATATTGGGTGTCTCTTAGGACCCAAGGAGAAGAACGTGGTTCATGTCAGAAAAAACAGTAACCAGGCTCTGAGTTTTTAGGATTTGCATGGTTGGCTGTCTCTGTGCCTCTCAACCCTTCCATGTCTGTCTTCTCTCCACTCACAGGTAGGGAACTTCTTCCTGGTCCACAGGACAGTAAACATGGCAGCCAATGGCTTCTAAGCACCGCATCTTGAGTCTGGTAACCCAGGAGAAATTAGCTTCTTTGCTTCAGTTTCAGGGTTAGTTTCTATAGAAGAAATGTAATTGGCTCAGTCTGGGGCAGTTGGCCACCTGGACCAATCAACCAGCCTGGGTGTGGGATCACATTGTGCTGTGTGGAAACCATGTAGATGGCAGCAGAAGCTTCCAGGAGAAGGGGAGCCAAGGTCACATGGAGGTGAACTCCACACACACAAACTATGGTCCAGCAATCCACATAGAGGTGTACTTTTTTTTTCCTGATATGGTAACCAAACTTAATAGATAACTGAATGCTACTGTGTGATATATTTGGATTTTTATTAGAGATTTTGACTTAGTTTCTTATAAAGTTTGTGTAGACAAGATGAAGGTGTGTGAGCTGCAGGAATAAGGGACGCTGTAAGAGACAAAAGGAGTGACGGAGTAAGGCCAGCTGGTTTCAAGGGAGAGCTTTCAAGTAGAAGCTGAAGTCTACACTGGGTAAGGTGGTTCATTGGGATGGTGACACAGGAACATCAAAACCCCAAGGAAAGGTGATTACAGGAGCAGGAGCGGGGACATCAGGCTTGGGGAGAAGCTGGAGTGGCAATGGAGCCAGGGACAGAAAGCAAAGGGGGTAGCAACAGCGAATTCAGGGAGATTTTACACACTTCATCCCTCTTATTCTTAAAGTAGCTATTACCTGTGACTGACCCTAGAGCACTGCCTAACAAGAAGTACGTGCAGGGAACACTAGTTGGGGAAGTTAATTGCTAGCTGGATAACCAGTGTGTGGATTCATGAGCTAATGCCAACCAATAAGGAACTCACTAATGCCTGTCATAGAGCTCGACTCTGGGCTCTCTTTCATTGAATTGATTTATTACTAATTTGAAAGAAGTTGTAGAAGGGCTGATCTACAAATCTACACAGGACAGTGTGCTAGAAGATGGAATCAGGAGTCGCAAGAGCTCAACAGGCTGAGCTAATGGGCATGAATAAGAGAGAGTTCAATACTTCTAAATGTAAAGTCCTCCACTGAGGTTTAGAGATTGAATGCAAAGATACAGGATGGGGTGTTGGTGGTTGGAAAATTTGGCAGTTCCTCTGAAAAGACCTTGGATTTTGAGTAGATCACTTGAATTCAACAGTGTGAATGAAGATTCCCCTCAAAGCATGTTCTGTAGTATGCAGAAAACTAAAGGAAATAATCTTACTTTCTCATGATGTCAGATGATATTTGGAATTTTTGTTGAGTTCTGAGCATATGATTTTAATGTGTAATAGAGACAAATTGGAACTGTCCAGGGTAGGAGAGGAAAATATCTGAAAACCACAATATAGGAACAGTTCTTGAGGGAACTGAAGATGTTTGTCAAATAGTGGACAGTAATAGTGCTCATCTATCAGCCCTCCTCATCTGCAGGGTCCTTACATGGAAGTGAGACAGATTGGATAAGACTAGATGGCAAAATTAGGAGAAATCAGGGGACAGCATACGGAGGTAGATTTCTGTGTTTTAATAATTAAAAGATCAAATAATAATTAAAAGAGTGAATGCAATTCTTGCAACGTCATGAATTCATCATTCCCAGATTTGCGGATTCTCAGGGGTGCTGTGGAAGGGATTCTTGTTTGGGGTAAAGAGTTGAGCTTCTTGATCTCTGGTCTTCTTTCTGGCTCTAAGAATCTTGGAGACCAGGTTTCATTCTGAGCTCTGCCAGTAAATAGCTGAATGAATCGGGGTAAGTCACCTACACTCTATGAGCCTCTGTAAAATGGGGTTAATGATTCCTGCCCTCTCTTTCTCAACAGATCATTACAAAGTTCAAATGAGAAAAAACAGGTGAGAGGAGCTTGAAAAGTTGAAATCGCTCTGCCCTTATAGGATTTCATTCTGACTATTCCCTTTGTGAATTTTTCAGACAGCTGCCAACCTCGGAAGGCCCTGCTTTCTGTAGCCTCGTTCCTTTGACATCTTATCCCCCCTGAAAGTTTTGTTCAGTCGTTTACACTCATGGCTTTGAATCCATCTATCAAAACTCCTCTGCCAGGAACTGCATTAAGATGTTGGCAGCAGGTGGCTGATTCTCCCCAAATGTGCTGCTTGTTCCAAGGAAGGAACGTTGGAGAAGGGTGGAGAGAGGTTTTTCTCTTTCTGCCAAACAACATATATTATGATGCCATCTAAATATCAAAAGAGGAGGTGTCTTCCTCAGGAACTTTCTGCAAGACGAGGGTGTGCTGACCTCACTGCACTACTAATTATTCCTTTGTTTTTTTTTCTAAATAAATAGGATGCCAACTTTAAGTAATCCCCCTGTCACTGTGGCATCATGTTGCTCTAATGCTTCCTGCACTCGCCCCTCTAGCGAGGGCTTCGCAGGAGCAGAACAGAGTGATCTGTACGCAGAAAAGGGCAAAGGCCCTTTGTAATTCTATAAAACACTTTGAGGCTTTCAGAAGGTGCTATATACATCAATAAATAATAATAATTTTCACTCTCTCTTCTTCGTAATACTCCCTTAGAAGGTTGAAAATAAAATTTCTTTCGTTATTGATTTTGTCCTTCTACATTTGGCAAACATTGATTTTTCCCTTTCCTAATGGGGCAGAAGCCAACATAGCTGTATTTCATTTACTTTGCTCTCTGAACCCAGAGTCACAGCTGATGTTAGCAGGACCACAAGCATCTCACAGGGATGCCAATATCAGTTGTTTAACTGGAGGGCACAGGGTCTTACAAGAATTGGCCCCAAAATGTCAAGCACATAGTAGGTTCCTGGTCAATCTGTGAGTTGAGAGCAAGTCCAAATATTCAGATGGGGCGATAACTGGGAGAAGGAAAATGTGGGGCTCCAAAGGGGTAAGGTGGGTGGGGCAACTCAGAGGGTGTTTCCCATAGTCTCCTCTGGCTGCCATAACAGAATCCCATAGATTAGGTGGCTTAAACAACAGAAATTTGTTTCTTTCAGTGTGGAGGCTGGAAACTCCAATATCGGGGTGCCAGCTCTGACAAAGCATGACCCGGGAGCCAGCTGCAGGTAAGAGAAATACTCTGATGTCTGCATTTATTTTCATCTAACTGTGCTGAGCTAAGTAGACTGAGTAGGGGATGCCAACTTTGCAGGCACAGGCTCAGCAGTGTTACCTAGAGATGGAGCTCATCTTTTCCTGAGAGGAGGGAAGAGGGCTTTCTATTCAGGCCAGAGCAACTTCTTAGGAAGGGGATGTGGTCCAGGCAAGGAGTGAGGGGAGAGGAAGGTGTGTACACTGAAGTCACACTTTCAGGTCAGATGATTTCTGAGGGTCCTCGTGGCGAGGGTGATGGTGATGATGATGTTGATGCCGTAGTACCATGTGCAGGAGACTCTGGCTCCGGTGGCTGCAGCTCAGGAGAATGCAGGTGCTGGGAGACACAGCCAGGACGACGCCCCGGGGCTGCAGTACACATTTGCTTAATTGAAAAGATGAGAGCTGGACTGATAAAAATGTACTATTAAACACTGAACATAAACTCGTTTTGAGAATTGAAAGAGAAAATACGTCATATAATAAGACTCCATACATTATTTTTTTATTCTCAGCTGCTATTCATCCAACCCTTCCCTATTCAATAAGAGGAGGTGGTGCTGGGCAAGGTGGCTCACATCTGTATTCCCAGCACTTTGGAAGGCCGAGCTGGGAGGATCGCTTGAGGTCAGAAGTCCGAGACCAGCCTGGGCAACATAGTGAGAGACCCCGTCTCTACAAAAAACTTGAAACATTAAAAAATGAAGAAAGGGTAGGATTAACACTTTTATCAGGAAGAAAAAGAATATGTTTTAGCGTGCATGGAAACACCGGGCCCTGGATTCCTAAAGTTGGCTTTCTCTGTTTCTGACAAAATCCAAAGGGGTCTGACTCACTGCTGAGTGATGCGACATCCTGTGTCAACCGCTTTGCTGAAGAGCAGTTCCTCTTTGGAGGACACCTTTAAACAAAGCTACAAGAATGCACATCCTCTTTAGAAGGTGTGCGCTTTGCATGTGTATGGTAAAACAGATTTGAGGTGACTGTTTGCCACAGGGATTAAAACTTTATGGTTTTGATTGCATGTACAAAGGGTGAGAGTTGAAGTAATTATCCTGATAATGAAGGTTAAAAGGCTTTCTCCCGGAAACCCAGATAATTGAAACTAATGTCTATTTTGGCTTGAGACAGCTAGGTAATAGCCTCAATTCTATACTTCGCTTTGCTCACCTAGGCTCTCTAGCAGAAATCTACACTGTTTGCATGTTGGACCATCAGTAAATCTGAACTGCAGCATTAATAATAGACAGGCCAAGCAGCTGATCTGCCAACTAAGATGACAAACATAGATCAACTGTAGTCTCATTCTTTTTCTTTTAAATGGTATTAACCCATACACTCAATGAAAATGTGAATGCACTTATGTGGAATTCCTGGAACGTACGGATTTTGACCAGCGTTTAACGTAGATATCCACTTTCATGGAGACAATCTGGGGAGAAATTAAAAAGCAAAATTTGCTCTGCTCTATAAACATAAAGAAATGGGCATGGGGGATGAATAGTTCTCATTTGCTAAATATACAGCTCATTCGTCTGAGACATAAATAAGAACACTGCCTAAGTAGGTCAGATTTGAGTTTGGGCTTTTCAGAAGACTTGAAAGCTGCACCGTGAATATCCACTTCAAAGCCAGAATCCATTTTTTGTGTGCACATTTTGTTCCTGAGAAGTTTTCCATCTGTTCTCATGTCATGGCTGTGCCACTGTGGCATGTCCTCAGACTCGCTGAATTTCTGGCAACTCACGTACTGTACTTTCTAATGTGGCAGGTAGAGGAGATAATTGGGAGACCTTTGCAGCCAGTGCAGGGAGGGCAAGGAATGGGGGGAGACTTCCTCGGGAACAAATGGGAGGTGAAGAATGCCCCTCTTGCCGTGTAGCTGCTGGGGTCTCGTTTTTAGCTGCAGGATGTTGAAAGAGAGGAAGGAGTGATCTGAGATGCTCCTCCGGGGGTTTGCATGAAATAAAAAACCGGCGCTGACAGAGGTTAGTGAGGTTCGGTTCACTCCCTTCTCGGTACCAGCGCTGTTCTGAATTCAGGATTCTGACAGATTTAAACCCTATTTCCTCGGCGCCGAGGCTACATGATCTGCCTGTCACTTTCTCAAATGATATCTCTCTGACTCCTTTTTCGAGGAGCTCTTCAAGGGGAGGGAACTTTCTCACTAACGTGTCACTCAATCCACCCACCCAGACACCCACTGCTCGTCGAGACTGGCAAAAAAGAAAAAAAAAAAAACCTCCAGATTTTATGCACACTTGAGAAAATGCTTCAAGCCTTCCTCTATACGTGTGATTTATGGAATGTGACACAACTCCGGAGTGCAGTTATCAAAAAGCTGAGGTTTCAGGTGAGGCAGGGCATAACCGAACTTTCTGGTATTTTCTCAAGCTACAGATCTCACTAATAAGAGATGATGTGCATTTTCTTATCCTGGATTGGCTGGCATCAGTGGAATTCCGATGGTGCCGTTAGGAACCACACATGAGCACTGCTTCCGTCTGCCTTTTGAAATGAAACCATGTTTGGCTGCTCATTGACGCCCAGTGCTGGGTGGTATTGCAACCAAAATGTCTCAAGGTGGCATCCACTCTCTTATTGCAATGCAGGGAACTCCAGGACAATGTCTGATCAGCTCTCAAGTCAGGAGATCACAGCCACAAGGGCCTGGCGAGTAGAGAGCTGCCAGACGAGGAGCTGTATCTTCATGAGCCTCCAGTAGTCAGGCATTGCCAACGCTTTGCAGCACCCACCTCAGAGTGCCATGCAACCTACACTGAACGATGGAGGCTCTAGTCCCAGCTCTATAGGCTCTGTCTATGATCATAGACAACCAGTGCAGGCTCTCTGGCCCTCAGTTTCTTCATCTGTAAAAGGAGAGAATAGAGTTGATGATCTCTCACTTTGCACAAAGTGCTGAAATTCTTTTATGCCGTAGGTAGACTTGGGGATAATTGGTATTCACAGACTCCCAAAGCTGGACATGCCTTAAAGGTTGTCTAGTTCAATGGAAATTAACTTGGGGTTTATGAGTCAGTACCAAGTTCAAGGCCATGTATGGTGGCTCATGCCTGTTAACCCAGCATGTTGGGAGGCCGAGATGAGAGGATTGCTTGGGTCCAGGAGTTTGAGACAAGCCTGGACAACATAGCAAGACTCTGTCTTTAAAAAAATCAATAAAGAAAATTAGCTGGGTATGGTGACATATGCCCATAGTCCTAGCTACTCGGGAGGCTGAGGAAGAGGGATGGCTTGAGCCCAGGAGTTGAGGCTGCAGTGAACTGTGATTGCACCACTGCACTCCAGCCTGGGCAACAGAGTAACAAACAAAGAAACAAATGAATAAACAAACCAAGTTCAAAGACAGCCTTTAGGTGGTTAAATGAGCCTCCTGAAATCATGCATAGCCCTTAAGGTGTGTGTGCATTTCTCTGGGGAGAGGATTTGTAGCGTGCATCACATTTTTCAAAGGAGCTTAAAATCTGGAAAGCCCACGATCTACTGTTCTGCTCCAAATTCCCTGTTTTTCAGTGAGGAAAAGGGGGAGAAGGTAAATGGCCTGAGTAAGGTAGTGGATCCCAGAGCTGGGAGCTGAACGAGAGTTTCTGCTTTCTGGTTCAGGCTCTCTTGGCCATATAGTGGTCATTCCTATTGGTGTGGCCTGGGGAGTGAACAGGACCTTCTAGAGTGACCAGGGCTCCTGATGGTGTAGCCGGGCATGTCTGAAAACAGAGATCACTGATTGCACACTGCACAATACCACACTCAGCTCCAAAAGCAACACTGTCTTTTTCCCACAACTAGTTTGCTCTACATCCAGGACTACAGCTCAGTTCTCCTAACCACCGGCTCAGTACCTTTGCCATTGACATGACTTTGCTTTTGAAGATAGCAACCCAAGTGCTCTCTCTCTCTCTCTATATATATGTATATATATATATATATATATATAGCTTTTACTATCTGCATGGGTTCATTTAAGTTGTCTCTTATTTTACCTGTAAGATAAGACTGCCTTCTGGAAAGAGGAAGTCCAGGAAGAGTTAGGTCAAGAGAGAAATATGAATGAATGTGTTATACCTGGCTTCATTCACTAAGTAGAAGGAAATCTAGTGTGATGGGAGGGAGGAAATAGAAAGAGAACTGAAATCTGAATTTAAAATGGCACAGTTTGTTCCTTCCTTAACAATAACAGCAAATTGAAGTAGTTTAGATACTAGAGGATCAAATGTGAAAATCATGATTGGATTCTTCTAGGAGAGAAAGGTGATGTGAAGGCATTTTTCTCATCTCTTCAATTATTCACCCAGGTAAGGGCTCCGCTAAGGCCACTGAGACGTGGTTTTCATGGGATTATGGAGAAGGAAGCCTGGTGTTTGTGTTTTGATTAGTCTTATTTGTTCTTGATGTTCTCTCTTGCTGTCTCTCTGTTTCTCTCTCTCTAATTGTATTATGGATGGGGAATCAAAATATAAGGTAACTGCTGCAACGGTTTCTTGATGTTTTACAGGCAGCCACTGTAAGGCCACCGTTATAGAACCACCGTTTCCTAAGTAATCCTAGCTGCAAACTCTGTTTTCCTTCAAGTGAAGGGTAATCCTTGGCCCGAAATTTAGAGCTGGCATAATACGGTAGGAAGGGTCCTGGAGGCAGAGTTGGAAAATCTGGATATTGGTGTGGGCTCTCCTACTATTGTGGGTGTCCGTTTATATCTTATTGCTTTGTTGGAACTCCCCCATCCCCAGTCCATGGTGAAGAGGGAGCCTAGGTGGTACATGCTCTCGGCTGCAATTAATTGCATCGTCATGCCTGAACTTTAGTCCCAAGATGAGCCAATCAAACAATTTGCAAAATTTAAAGAGACATGAGACCTGTGTGTCAGGCATTGAAGCTGGAAGATGGGATCGGATTTTGGTACCATGGCAACTCAGAGCCACATGCAATCTGAAGTCACAAGGGACAAGAATTAAGAGCTTGGGAGACACTCAGGAGGAAGCAGAGGGGAGAGGTTGGTGGCATTCCACTTCTTGCAAGGTCCCACTGAATCTTTGAGAGTCCCCTGTACTCTTATAATGAATCTTCCTTTACTAAACTCAGTTAGCTTGAGTGGGTCTCTATTGGAACTTCAAATTCCCTTATTCAGACATCGTGTGACCTTAGTTGAGCCATTTTGTTTCTCTAGTCTCAGTTTCATCTTGTATAAAATGAGGCCATTGAATTAGATAACCTTTAAGGTCCCTTTGGGTTTCAGGAATCTATACTTTTAATGTTCCCTGTTAGTGGTATATGAAGCCCTTGGAAACCAGAGGATGCTGGGAAAACCTGCTCTTCTCTTTGTTCTGCTGGGGCTGCATCAGATGATGGGGTTAGAACAGAGGAACATCCAGCACCAATCAAGGTTATGCCTAAAAAGAAAGATGCTGGCTGGGAGAAGAGGCACTCCCTGCCAAACTAATCTGTGATAGGCTAGATTAAAGCCTCCACGGGCTGGTCCTGCTTTGATTCTCCAGTGGACTCAGACGAGATCAGAGAAAGTTGTTGGCAGCTCCCGAGTATTCTCACACTAAATGAGCAGTATAGAGTAAGTACAGCCTTGTTGATTGTACATCAATTTGATGGACTAACTATGGTACAGTAATTAAGCCAAAGAGAACATTCAGAAGTACTTATTGCTATTTGCTGCCTGCTCAATCCCCAGAGTCCTACAATAAATAGAACCATAAGTTTAATTAATACCTGCAGGTCTGATTACTCATTTAGGATAGGCCGTAGTGGACCAGAGGTTAAACTTCCAAAGACATCTTACTGTGAGTGATGTTGAAAATGTCTGCATTTGCCTGTAGCTGAAGTCTGCAAACTATGTCCTACTAAGTCCTTGGGGGTCTACCAGAGGTGGCCCCCATAGAAGGTGGGTACAGTGACAGGGCAGTCCAGGCAAGCAGCAGCGCCTGGTTAAGCCTCAATTACACTTGCATTTTCTTTGCTCTGCAAGTTTTGAGACTTTTGGTGACTTCCCCTGCTGCTCCTAGTGTGGTGCCACATTTCTTTCTTTCTTTTTTTTTTGATATAATTTCTTTCTTTGTTTCTTTGTTTCTTTGTTTCTTTGTTTGTTTGTTTCTTTCTTTCTTTCTTTCTTTCTTTCTTTCTTTCTTTCTTTCTTTCTTTCCTTCTTTTTCTTTCTTTCTTTTTCTTCTTCTTTTTTTTTTTTGGCAGAGTCTCACTCTGTCACCCAGGCTGGAGTGCAATGGCATGATCTTGGCTCATTGCAACCTCCACCTCCCGGATTCAAGCAATTCTCCTGCCTCAGCCTTCCGAGTATCTGGGATTATGAGCACCTGCCACCACACTTGGCTAATTTTTGTATTTTCAGTAGAGACAGGGTTTCACCATGTTGGCCAGGCTGGTCTCAAACTCCTGACTTCAAGTGATCCACCTGCCTTAGCCTCCCAAAGTGTTGGCATTATAGGCATGAGCCACCGCACCCAGCCTGGTGCCACATTTCTGTCAGCACATGAGGAGGCTGCTGTGCCCCTCCTCATTGCACCCAAATCTAGTTTCCAAGGGTTGAAGCAGGTAGAGGAGTCTGCCAAGTAGCTGAGACAGACACTGCCCTGGGATGCAGATTAGTAACCATGAGGCTCACTTCTCCTCGATTACAAGTGGGCTTGGTCCAGAGCCATCGCTCACCAGGGGCCAGTGATTATGGTCGTAATTGTCATGGAGATCTTCACTAGAACACTTACTTTGGTTTTCGTCAATCTTATTGAGAGGATGTGGATAAGGAATACGTAACCCACAGCATTGCCGTGAGATGACGTAACTCCAGCGCTGAGCTTAGGCCACTGCCTGGCCTGTTGAAGTGTTCACCCAGCCTTAGCTTGCAGGTCAGGATCATGCTAAGTGCTCTCATTCATTGCTTCATTTAATCTTCACAGCAGCAATAATTGGGATTGCCCTATTTTATAGAGGAGGAAACTGAGGGCCTGGGGGTTTATGTAACTTGCTGATGATCACAAAGCTGGGGCTCCAGTGCAGCTCTATCTCACTCTCAAGTCCATGCCCTTAACAATCCACATGACATGTAGGAAGACTGGGAGTGTGTGGGGCTGTTGCCCTCTGAGAGCTGAGGTGAGAACCTACAAGGTGAGAAAGGGCTTCCTCGGTTGGCAGGGAGAGATGAGTTTGGGTTGACGGAGGAGCACTCCTGGCTAGATAAACTTTTCCAATAGGAGACCAAGAGGCTGGAGAGCATTCCTGTGTGTACTGGGGTTGGGCCAAAGGCAAAAAATGTTTTTACAACAAGAAAATTAAAGGAAAAAGAGTATATTGAGGATACAAAAAGGTAAAGACTGAAAGAGAAAAAATGTTTATAACAAAGAAAGGTGGAGAAAGGAAAGACAAAAAAAGAGAAAAAGAAATGAATTAAGGGAAAAACAGAGCTGGAGGGAGCAATAGACAATGAGAGGAAGGCAAAGGGTTCAATTCGAACCCAAGGGCAGAGAATCGATTGTCTCAGAGTAAACACACAAATGCCATGTGGATGTTAACAGTGGCGATATTTAATGACTCAGTCCCCTGCTAGGCCAGGCTTGATTTTCATCCAGGGCTCATGCCACGTTTAATAAAACCAGGGATGGGACATGAAGCCACACTCTGCATCTGGGAGAAATGTACTTGATTTTCTGCAGGAAACGCTGCTTTTGGAGCCAACAACTATGGATGTGTTGTCCAGAGGAAACCTGTGGATCAAGCAAGGTTTGGGTTTATGTCTTGTGAGCGCTTCATTAGTGAGAAGGGATTACTCAGAAACAGTAAAATGGGAAAGTTCCCATAAACTGTATAGCAACAAGAGTGAAAAAACATTAAAATATTTGTAAATGTATCAAACATGTTGAAACACTTGAAATAACGAAAAAATATCTAAATAAACAGGATTCTATAAGTTTGTTAGGTCTGGCTTCAGAAAAATTACTGATATAAGCCAGGCTCACTAAATTGAGAGACGTGTCTGGTGGTGACCCGAAGCCATTTCTGAATTCAAAACCAAATTTCTGTTACAGAATCTATAATGGTTCTTATGACAATCAACTTTCTGTTGGCTTTCAAAAGAAACTTGCAGATATTCTTACATCATCTCCTTTCCAGTTTCCCAGAATTAAAATTGAGATCCTACTTATTTACAAATGAACAGACCAACCTTGTGAATAACATCATAACATATACTAGTAGAAAGAATCCTCCTCATTGCTTTGAAATCACCAACCACCTGGTGCAGGCACCTAGCGCTAAGGTGGGTGGGGCAGGCAAGGCCGTGATGGCCAGGCTAATCCTTTTTTTTTCTCTTAAGAAATCAGATCAATGTATGGTTGATACAGTTAAGTGTCACATAATCAATTGAAGAACTAAGGCAAAAGAAAAAATACCTTGTTGATTGTACTGTAGCAATAGAGTCTCATTATGTAGATGTGGTCTGAATCTACACAAGTAAATGTAGTGAAAAGTGAAGAGGAAAATTGAGGCAATTTCCTGAATTATTCAAGGAAAAAAACTCCTCTTGCCTCAATTATTCGTATGGTACTTTTCTTTGAAAGTGAGGAGAGTGGGAGAGAACGGGAGGGAGAAAAGAAAGAAAGCTTGATTGCGTTAATTCTCCACTTCATTTTGTAGATTAAGGCACATCTATAGACATTATTACTCATCCCTGTGTACCGTAGTTTACTTCTTGACAAAATATTACTTTGCCATTGTGTATATGCAGATTTTACCCACCCTATGTTTTTCTCCAGTTAAATGGTGAGAACTTGAACTGACACTATCCTTTTTTCCCCATAAATAGGATGCCTACAAAAAGACTAATTTCCCAGTAATCCAACTTATTCCAAACACTCCACCCACAAGGCAGCAAGTGAGGGAAAAAATAGAATTCTGCTTGAAGATGTAAGTCATATCACCATCCAAAGATCTATTCTACCTCCCTTTCATTGATAGGGAGAAATAATCAGTGTTTGAACCTAGAGTGGAAAATTTTCAACAAACAACGGAAATGTCCCCAAAGCTCACCTTCCAGGGCCACCGTATGTGGTGTGCAGGTAGAGCATGGCAAACTGGAGGCATTTCCAGGGCCACCCTACGTGGTGTGCAGGCAGAGCATGGCAAACTAGAGGCATTTAATATTTGTATACTTATTAGGACAAACTTCTGGCAGAGAGCAGTTACCTGTCCTGACAAAATCAGAACTTACGACAAGAAGTAAAGTGTCTTAGGAAGGGGCACCATTTTCTAATTCACGTAAAGTTGCTGTATGGGCTAATGGTAGCTCTGGTTGTCAGTTATCTTAAGATTTAGAGAATGTGGTCTGGATCCAGAGAGGAGCAGTAGAAATGATTTGGGAAATCAGTGGTTTGGGAAATAAACCGGTATTAGTCCGTTCTCATGCTGCAATAAAGACATACCTGAGACTGGGTAATTTATAAAAAAAAGAGGTTTAATGAGCTCATAGTTCCACATGGCTGGAAAGGCCTCATAATCATGGCAGAAGATGAAGGAAGGGCAAAGGGATGTCTTACATGGTGGCAAGCAAGAGCGCATGTACAGGGGAACTCCCTTTATAAAACCATCAGATCTCACGAGACTTACTCACTATCACAAGAACAGCATGGAAAAACCTGTCTCTATGATTCAATCACCTCCCACTGGGTTTGTCCCATGACATTTGGGGATTATTACAATTCAAGGTGAGATTTGGGTGGGGACACAGAGCTAAACCTTATCAAAACCTTAGAAGGAGATGCTAAAGGAATAGGGTTAGAGAGCTAGGAAAGAGAGAATTCACATTGGTCTTCCGGAGTGTGAAGGTCTGTGTAGGCATTGGTTTGTGGCTCTTGTTGGTGTCCACCAAAGGAGAGTGTGAAATGAAATGGGCTTAAATTAAATGGACTTAAAATATATCTATTCATGTTACATAGAATTGCTGAACTGGAGCTTTGCTATGAGTAAGTCCTAATATGGCATTCATTCCGTAATCAAGTAGGAGCTTCTTAGAGAGGGGTTTTTGCTGTTAGTGTCTATCACCTAGTGTTACTTTGCATGATGTAAGAGAACTCAGGGAAAAGCTCAAAGCACTAACAGTGATGTGTCTGTGTAACCCAAGGCTTTTCAGTCAACTCTCTCTAGCTCATAAATCAGCGCTTCTCCAAGAGTGTTATGAACCCTGCACCCTCCTTGTCAGTGCTGATTTCTGCACCCATCTCCCAGGTAGGCTAAATCAGAACTTTTAGTGGGTAGAGCCATGGACTCTATATTTTCTCACGTATCATTGTTTGAAAATAACTAAATTAAACTATAAGCTGTTTAATGACATGAATTAGATATTCATTTTTATAACAGACTCTCAAAAAGTACTGTATATGTAGAATAAATCTCTTAATTATTACTGCACCGAACTAACAATAAGGTAAATTATAAGGTTATGATATTTAAATGATTTTATACTAGCAACTATAATTTTCTGCAAGTTTTAGGATTATTATGTAAATGTCACTTTGTGGGTTTTTGAAATATCAGAAAATTATGAAGCTTATTAAGAATATACTGTAAGACCTTGAAGACTATTAAACATAAATAAAACTTAGTCTAACGCAAAAGTCTTCTATTCATGAAGATTTGTTTCCCAGCATTTTTTATGTTGACAAATGCATTTTCTATATGGCAGGGAAAGGAAGAAATCAAGGGATTTGTGTATTTGTCAATGAATAAGCTTTACTGAGTCCTGGCAGGTGGTGCCTGACTGATACAAATCCTGAATTTGTACTTGTGATAATATTCAAAAAGTGGGACAAAACAACCTTCCAACCTTAGAATAAAATAGCAGGAGCTATGTCAATCAATAGCCTAGAACCCAGCTACCTGCCCTCCTGCATGATGCCCTCCTTCTTCCTCTCCCTTCACTAAGTTACCATCTGGAATAGAATCCAATAGTGATCCACCAATGGACAATTTTTGCTATGAAGGAGGAAAGAGAGGACAGATTTGATTACAACAAAAGCATCCCAAGAATGTGTCCTGCATGAGCTCTTCAGGCTGTGAAATCTTGAACTTCTACACCCATCCTTGGCTGGCTTTTTCCATGTGAGGCCATATAGAGGTACTACCACCCTTGCCCTGCTTCAGTCCTCCTCTCGCCTGCCTGAGTTTCAAGTGCAATGGAAATGTGCTTAGTTGATGGTGCCAACCCCTACCTGCACAGCCACAAGGAAGAGGTGACCCATGCAATACATTCAATCAACACCGAGCCCTTATTAACCACTTCAACTTTCTACCTAACCAACAGTGTCATCTGTGGCAGAAAACCAATTGCATAAAGTCTTTTTTTTTTTTTTTTTTTTGAGATGGAGTCTTGCTGTGTCACCGAGGCTGGAGTGCAGTGGCGCTATCTTGGTTCACTGCAAGCTCTGCCTCCTGGGTTCACACCATTCTCCTGCCTCAGCCTCCCGAGTAGCTGGGACAACAGGGCCCACCACCACACCCGGCTAATTTTTTGTATTTTTAGTAGAGACGGGGTTTCACCATGTTAACCAGGATGGTCTCGATATCCTGACCTCGTGATCTGCCTGCCTCGGCCTCCCAAAGTGCTGGGATTACAGGTGTGAGCCAAGGCGCCTGGCCGCATAAAGTCTTTTCTAGTGGATTCTTCAGCTTCCTGTTCTCTACTGATGGCCATAGACTCTTGGGTGGGCAGAGGAGTGGGAAGGAGTTATTGCTAAGGGTCCATGAACGTGTAACTCCTCATCATTCCACCCCACTAGGATTTAATGAATCCTTCTAATGTGTCAGACTGTGTGGAGTATGCTTTGTGTAATAGGTTGAACCATAGAAACTGCCATTCTTGTAGGTAAAAAATGGTTGTTTATGTAAGCAATTTTCCATGATCAACCTAATACATGCCATCTTACTTCATCTTTGAAGTAACTTATGAGGTATTACCACCGTCATTTTCCAGAAGAAGAAAGCTGAGGCTCAGAGTGATCAAGAATACCCAGCCAGAACGTGGCATCTGGGACTTCTGTCTCCACTCTGTTATCCACCAGCACCCTTGGGCCCTATTGCTTGGCTAGATGGGCACTCTGCATGTATCAGGCATTGTCTGTCACCTGAGTCACTACATGTATGACATCATATGTCTATTACCAGTCTCAGATATACACTAAGAAAATAAGATTTCATTAAAGTATTTTCTAAATTCATGGTAGTGTTTTTGAAATTAGGCATCTTGTCAATCAAAGAGTGTGCAGAAAAATTGTCCCAATATTTCATGGGTACACAACACTGATTCTGCCTCAATCCCAATCCCACAAATCATGAAGCCTTGATACCTTTCTTGGGGGAAGTAGTCTGGAGCTTGTCCCCTGGACCCCATTTACCAGGGTGTGTCAGCTTATGCCTCTAAATGTCCCTCTTCCCTCTCAACTGCTTTGAGCCTCTGTGCTGATGACAGTGTTCCAAAGATTCAGTGGGACAATTTACACCAAGAGCTGAGGTGTGGCGCTCGACCCAGTGCCTGCAGCAGAGTAAACCCTTAGGAAATGAGCAGTGTCATTATCTGGCACATTCTGATGACCTAAGAACTCAATCAGCACTTTTGAGTTGGCTTGTACTATAATCAAGCTTTTTGACCTATCTTTTAGCCTTGTGGCCCATCTATTAATCCCATCTCAGTATGTTTCTACAGTGGGTATGAACATATAGAGTGGAAAAATAGACACTGGAGACTCCAAAAAGTGTGAGGGTCAGAAGGGGGTGAGGGAGAAAATATTACCTTCTGGGTACAATGTACACTATTCAGGCGATGGGTATACTAGAAGCCTAGAATTCACCACTATGCAATATATCCATGTGACAGCTACACTTGTACCGCTAACTCTATATAAATGAAAAATAAAAACGTTTCTATATATTTTCTCTCTCTCCTTCATCATCTGCAATCGTGCAGACCAAACTGCATGTCACTTTGAAGTTCTCTTATTCTAATTCCCCTCCTCCAGTTTTTTTTCTAGACTGGGGCCATTCTATTTCTATAAAATGGCATACTTCCATGTGTCAAAAATGGCAAGAGCTTATAAGTGTGCAGTGGATAGATGACAAGTGTACACTTCTGCTGTTTAACATATGTTGCTTCCGGCTGGGCGTGGTGGCTCACGCCTGTAATCCCAGCACTTTGGGAGGCCGAGGCGGGCGGATCATGAGGTCAGGAGATTGAGACCATCCTGGCTAACACGGTGAAACCCCGTCTCTACTAAAAATACAAAAAAATTAGCCGGGCGTGATGGTGGGCACCTGTAGTCCCAGCTACTCAGGAGGCTGAGGCAGGAGAATGGCGTGAACCCGGGAGGCGGAGCTTGCAGTGAGCCGAGATGGTGCCACTGCACTCCAGCCTTGGGGAGAGAGAGAGACTCCGTCTCAAAACAAAACAAAACGAAACAAAGCAAAATATATGTTGCTTCCAATTTTTTTTTTCTTGAAGGTTGAAGTTTGCTTTTATTCAACTGTTTTCACTGACGAGATATGCATCATGGCTTTATCTGGTGACGATCCCTTCTTAGGCAGATCGTGGGCTTTCTGCAGGAAATACTTCCAGTTGTTTGAGAAGGGCATCAAGGTACTAATTCCGGGCCACCAAGACTGAACGCCTGAACGAGGCAACAGAGCTCATAAAATGATGGCAACTTCGTGACTGTTGGCTTGCAGGCTCAGAGTGGTTTTTCTTTAGTGTGGGTAGAAGGAAGTATTGGTTATTAGGTTTCAGTTTCTTCCATTTAAGGAAAAATGGAAAGGGATGTGAAGTAACTCACAAGTATTGAGAGTGTACACGAATGATGGCCATCAGTTGGTTTTATAATACGATGGCATTTGAATTGGATATGCTGGCATTGAATCACCCAAAATATGTATTTATGCATTAGATTTGTTCAAAATTCATGGTGCAGTTTTATTTTTAACAAGATTCAGGAAAAAATAAATAATGATTCTGATTTTTGTCCTTAGGTTACATATGACAGTGATTCAGTGTGGCCCTGTACTAATGGAATTCATGTAAGATGTAAACACACTTGGAAACCAGTTTGAAAGAAGTCATTTATTGAGGCAAAAAAAAAAAAAAAAAAATCTCCTTGAATATACAGGAGTCATTACATTGCCATTATCTTCAACAAAGATTTATTGAGCACCTACTATGTGCGTAGTTATGATTCAAGTAACCCTGATACCAGTTTAGCAATAGATTGATTTCATTAGAATGTTAAAATGAAGTTCCATTTGTGAAATACATTCATTATGTATACTTCAAAGCGTATTATTTGTATCTGCTTATAGGTTATTGGCCATTATATATGTATTTATGTGTTTGATTATGCTTCATATATTGAAAATGTTTCAAATAGCCATGTGAGAATAAATTCCTTGTCAAGCAAATTGGAATTTTTCTCAAGAGTTCTCTCTGCTCTATGAGTTTTGTGCAGCACCTGCACACAAATACTTAATGTTTTTCTTCAGAAAGTTTACGTCCACGAGAGAATTGTCTCATGGCTTTAAATACAGTCAAAACTCAAGCATGATGCCTTAGAGAGCTGTAATTTACATTTTAAAGGGCTTTGCCATACATTAATCAGTTAATCATGTAATGTCATTTATTGCACTTTTGCTAAATGACAGGCATTGTACTAGCTACCTCATTTAATCTTTCCAACTATACCGAAAGGAAGATACTATTGTTATCCCATTTTGCAGATGAGAAAACTGGAGGACTCAGTTACTAAGTGGCATTGTCAGGGTTTGAACTTGGGCATTTTGCCTCTACAGCTTGTGCTTTTAATCATTACATACAATTCCTCCAACTCGGGCTAGTTTTAAAAATTGGCACTGAATGTGGTTGACTCCTTCGAGGGTGAAGGTAGAGTGCAGAGGAATATAGGATCAAAAAATAATTGAGCAAACAGTTGGCTTATCTGTTGAATGTGGTTGAGCTAATGGATCAATGGAGCAATACAGCCATATCAGCCATGGCCATGATTCCTTGGATTTACTCCTCTCTCCTGGCTTCAGCCTGTTCCCAACCTTTGCCTGGTTAATTCCTCCTCATCCTACAATTTTTCCCTTGCATTGGCCATTTCTACATGCTCCCACATCACCCTGGCTTCTTGCCCAACACCCAGCCAATCTATGCAATTCATTTATTGTGTAGTCTGAACTTGGTACAGGGATGAACAAGACATGGTTTTGTTTTGTTTATTTATTTTAATTTTCACCTTAATCAATTTTTCTTAACTCTATCAGTTTCATCCCTTAGTTACATCTCAGGCAGATTTCTTAGGTCTCTAATCCTTTTCAGTTATTAAAAATCCATACCAGTTCAGTTTAAAACGTGTTCTCTACTCTCCTCCACCCAACCCTCATCCCCAGCTGGGGCCTGAGGTTTTCAGCAGGGGCCCCTCCTCTTTCACATCTCTTCCCCCGTCCTCTGGCCCTAGCTCCATTGGGTTGGGGAGGGAAAAAAGGGCCAGGAGAGAGGAGTGAGGGGTCCTCTTGAATTTCTGGCTTCAGCTGAAGTTCCTCTCTGGGCTAATGCTGGTTCCACTGGCTAATGCTAGCCCTAACTTACACACACACACACACACACACACACACACACACACAACTGTGGGCTCTCTCTAGTGCTATGAATTCTTCAGCGGGCTCTGTCCCCACTGTGCAGTTTTCTTTATGGGAGATCATCTCTTTGTGACCTCTTAGAACCCTCTTTCAGCTCCCTCCTCTGTGGAACGCCCCACAGCCTCCTGCTGTGTGTGAAAGTGGCCTGGGTGGCCAGAACAGCCCCCGACATGGCACATGTGCAACATGGCTCAGGTGGGACCCCTTCTTTGATGCCATGCAAGGAAGAGTCATGCATCTTTGTGCACACAATAGCGGGGAACAGATTGCTCCTTTGTGTGGCAATCTGCCTTGCTGTTGTCTTCCCAGTTCTTTTCTCTCCTATCCCCACCCAACAGAGGGCCGATCAGCAGCCCTTTGTCTAAGCAGATGCCCAGCCAAGGTGTGGAGATGCCTGTTTCCCAACATCTAGGAGACATTCTTATAGAATCCCTGCTTACTTCTGGAGGGAGAAGTCATGGTACTCACCCCTCCCTGAGTAAATTGCCAGTGTCTTTCTCAGCCTTCTCTGCTCTCAGTATTCTTTTGTAAAACTAGATTGGATGATTCTTAATAAGCCCTGAGGATTTATCTGGTCCACTTTCAGCTGTGTGTGTGTGTATGTGTGACTTATCTTTGTCCTTAGATTTGAGTCCCAGGAAAAAGGTCACTTTAAATATCATGTTACTTTGACAATTACTTATTTAATATACATATTCCCACTAGACCAAGTGCAGTACACTGTCTTAATCTCATTTACCCTCTGATTCTTCTTGAGTTGCTGCAGGTGATAAGCATCCTGATGGAACTGAGCTTCACTAACAGGAGGACAACACTGATTGCAGTATCAGGGATGATATAGTTTGAGCCGGATTATAGAGCTCATCAACTGATCCACATCTTAAATGCTCCATCTTTGGCATAAGGTGTTTGTAAATAATATGCAGGGCATTTATAAATATGATGGGATACTTAATACCAAAATTAACTATAAGTGAATTGCTGGGATAGAATAAAATACAGAAAACGAATACATAAGATCAATATGTTACCATAAAATTAAAATATTTAATAGCTTCAATTTCTACTTATGTCAAAATTCCTGTAATTATGTTTAATATCCTTTCCCCTTTTCTGCCCACATTCTGGGAACTGTCCTATTAATAATGAAATGAGAGCTAGATAAAAAGATAAGGAAGGGAATCAAAAGGGTTGCTTATTCTTTTCTTGATTAATCAAGGAATCATTAGTTATATTTGAAGAATATAATACTATCTCTTTAATAACAAAAAATTAGATATACGTGTGGCAAATCAATATATGCAAAAAACTTCTTACTTAGGAAAGAGTTTAGACTTCACACTTAAGATTAAAGTTCATTGAATTTAAATTATAGTAGGAAAGAAGATTAATTCCTATTAATATTTTGTGAAAATTTTCAGGGCTTAAACATAGCATGATGGTTTTCCTACTATGCCATTGGGTCCTCATTCACAATGAGGCAACTTCTTCTCATCCCTGTTCCATCTCCCTCCCCCAGGATGCTTCTCTTTTTTTCCAAAGTCATCAATGTGAGTTAACCATGGTGAATTTCACTAATAAACAAGTAGCCTGTGGGCTGGGATCAATAATGGAACAGTGTCAATGTTGGTAATCATCCCAGAGTATTTCTCTCCGCTTGTATAACGTTTCTGGTGATGTCAGGGAAATGCCTGTTCCTCTGCCTCGATTTCTGAAGAGAATCCTTTTATCAATATAATTTTTCTGTTTTTAAAATTTTAATTCTTCTCCACATCTAAATTTAAGGAACATCAATTTAATTATATTTTATGTTTATTAATGTGATTTTAAAAAGCAGAGAAGACTCTTCATTTAAAAAATCATAAACCTAAAGTTAATTTATTTTAGAAGATGTTTTTTAAATTATGAAAGATTTCAAGCATCCACACATGAATAGTTGTTAATGTAAAGTATACATACATATCTACCACACATCTTGATTAAGTCTTAACATGATTCCATATTTGCTTCAGATATTTTTTGGTGATATAAAACATTGGGGCAATTAATTGCCCTTACAAACTTCTCCTTGATCTCATTTTTTTCCCACTATTATGATTAATTCAATATTTATCCTTCCCAGATATGTTTTTGTACTTTTACTATAATATAATTATAAAATATATGATAGTGTATGATATGGTTTTTTTTAAATTTTAAACTTTTTATTAGTGGCATGATACTATACTTATTCTTCAGCTGTTTTTGATTCAACATTATGGTGTTGAAAATTATTCGTGTTGATGGATATATCTTTAGTGCATTCAGCCTTAAACGCTATTTAGTGTGCCCTTGAATAAATGTACACTATTTTATTTATTCATTCTCATGTTGATGGACATTTGGATTGTTTCCAATTTGTTCTTATACAAATAATACTGAAATGATTACACCTGCTTGTACAAAAGCATAAGAGGTTTAACTGACTCACAGTTCTGCAGGGCTGGGGAGGCCTCAGGAAACTTACAATTGTGGCAGAAGGGGAAGCAAACACGTTCTTCACATGGTGGTAGGAAGGAGAAGTGCACAGCAAAGGGGGGAAAAGCCCCTTATAAAATGATCAGATCTTGTGAGAATTCACTCACTATCAGCACAGAGGAAACCACCCCCTGATTCAATTACCTGCCACTGGATCCCTTCCACCACGTGTGGGGATTACGGGAACTAAAATTCAAAATGAGATTTGGGTGGGGACATAGCCAAACCATATCATTTCCACCACTTACCCCTCCCAAATCTCATGTCCTCACACTTCAAAACACAATCATGCCGTCCCAACAGTCCCCCAAATTCTAACTCATTCCAGAATTAACCCAAAAGTCCAAGTCCAAAGAGTCATCTGAGAAAAGGCAAGCCCCTTCCACCCATGAGCCTGTAAAATCAAAAGCAAGTAGTCACTTCCTAGATACAATGAAGGTACAGGCATTGGGTAAATACAGCCATTCTAGATAGGAAAAATTGGCCAAAACAAAGGGGCTACAGGCCCCATGCGAGTCCAAAATCCAACAGTGCAGTCATTAAAGTTTAAAGTTCCAAAATGATCTCCTTTGACTCCATGTCTCATATCCAGGTCATGCTAATGTGAGAGGTGGGCTCCCATGGCCTTGAGAAGCTCTGCCCCTGTGGCTGTGCAGGGTACACCCCCCTCCCGGCTGCTTTCATGGCTGGTGTTGAGTGTCTGTGGCTTTTCTAGGTGCATGGTGCAAGCTGTCGGTGAATCTACCATTCTAGGGTCTGGAGGACAGTGGCCCTCTTTTCACAGCTCCACTATGCAGTGCCCCAGTGGGGACTCTGCGTAGGGGCACCGAACCCACATTTCCCTTTTGCACTGCCCTAGCAGAGGTTCTCCATAAGAGCTCTGCCCCTGCAGCAAACTTCTGCCTGGACATCCAGGCATTTCCATACTTCCTCTTAAATTTAGGTGGAGGTTCCTAAATATTAATTCTTGACTTCTGTGCACCCACAGGCTCAACACCATGTGGAAGCTGCCAAGGCTTGGGGCTTGCATCCTCTGAAGCCATGGGCCGAGCTGTACCTTGGCACCTTTTAGCCATGGCTGGAGCATCTGGGACTCAGGGCACCAAGTTCCTAGGCTGCACATAGCATGGAGGCCCCGGGCCTAGCCCATGAAACCATTATTTTCCTCCTAGTCCTCTGGGCCTGTGATGGGAGGGGCTGCCATGGTCTCTGACATGTCCTGGACACATTTTCCCCATTGTCTTGGTGATTAACATTGGGATCCTCATTATTTATGCAAATTTTTGAAGCTGGCTTGAATTTCTTTCCAGAAAATGTTTTTTTTCTTCTCTATTGCATTGTCAGGCTGCAAATTTTCCAAAACTTTTATGTTCTGTTTTTTCCTGAATGCTTTGCTGCTTAGAAATTTCTTCTGCCAGGTACCCTAAATAATCTCTCTCAAGTTCAGAGTTCCACAGATCTCTAGGGCAGGGGCAAAATGCTACCAGTCTCTTTGCTAAAGCATAACACGAGTCACTTTTACTCCAGTTCCTAACAAGTTCCTCATCTCCATCTGAGACCACCTCAGCCTGGACTTCATTGTCCACATCACTATCAGCATTTTGGTCAAAGCCATTTAACAACTCTCTAGGAAAGTCCAAACTTTCCCACATTTTCCTGTCTTCTTCTGATTACTTCAAACTGTTCCAACCTCTGCCTGTTACCCAGTTCCAAAGTATCTTCTACATTTTCAGGTATCTTTATAGCAGCACCCCACTCTCTGCAGCATTAGTCTTTTCTCATGCTGCTAATAAAGACATACACAAGACTGGGTAATTTATAAAGGAATGAGGTTTAATTGATTCATGGTTCAACATAGCTGGGGAGACCTCAGGAAACTTACAATCATGGCGGAAGGGGAAGAATACACGTCATTCTTCACATGATGGCAGGAAGGAGAATGAGAGCTGAGCAAAGGGGGAAGCTCCTTATAAAACCATCAGATCTCATGAGAACTTACTATCACAAGAAGAGCATTGAGGAAACAGCCCCCATGATTATATTACCTCCTACCAGGTCCTCCAACCACATGTGGGGATTATGGGAGCCACAATTCAAGATGAGATTATCATTATCTTATTAACCTATCAAGAGGCTAAAAGGAAATGGTATGGGATTTTCAAACATTAAGGCATGCCAGATATTTTAGGATTCCACCTGGCTGCATATTATGGCCTGTTCTTGTGCATATTTTTAAACTGATGGGCAAAATCACATCAATAAAAATTCAGAGCTCAGTGATCATCATTCAAACTCTCAAAAAACCCTGCAACTATAGACTTAATATGTAGAGCCTTCTAAGTTCTTTGTCTACCTCTCTATTTTTTTTTACCTGTCTACTTTGAATATGTTGAATTTTCTAATGGTGAGATAAGACTCACTGCTTATGGTACTCCAGCCAAGATAAAATAAAAATCTTAAAGGGCTTCCAAATTAATTGCTTTACAAATTACAAAAGTTCCATGGTAACCAACAACTTAGACACCTTTAAGAAATATAAATTTAGGTTTGCTTGACTAAAAATTGCCTCGGATGATAGCTAATAAAAAAGAACTAGATAAATGTTTATAAAAGTTAGGGTCTCAGATCAAATTGGTCAAAATATTGAAGTCAGAGCAATAATATAAAGTATGTCTATATGGCATAAAAATTTCACTACATGTGTCATGCAGGAAGCAAAAGGAAAAAGCCAGAAAACAAACAAAAACTGCTGCAAATTTTTCTCCCACCGGCCACAGAAACAGCTTTACCCAAAATTTTGGTCCACAGCCTTCATTAGATTACCTATCAGGACAAATAAAGTTTAGCCATGTGATGCACAGTGGCTCACACCTGTAATCCCACACTTTGGGAGGCTGAGGTGGGCGGATCACTTGAGGTCAGGAATTCAAGACCAGCCTGGCCAACATGGTGAAACATCATCTCTACTAAAAATACAAAAATTGTGGTGGCATGTGCCGGTAATCCCAGCTACTCGGGAGGCTGTCAGGAGAATCGCTTGAACCTGGGAGGTGGAGGTTGCAGTGAGCCGGGATGAGGCCACTGCACTGCAGCCTGGGCTACAGAGCTAGACTCTGTTTCAATAAAGTAAAATAAAATAAAAAAGTTAAACATGTGAACAAGTCCCAATTTTATGAGAAATATAATTTGGATCCAATTGTCTTTTTTAAACTGGTGAGTTTATATTACTATATTATGACAAAAATTCTGAAAGGAAAGCCATAAGATCTTTGTGTGTGTATATAAGTTTAGGTGTGTTTATGCATATGTACATGTATTATATTGTATGTTGTTTCTACGTGATAAAATCCAGTATAGTCAGCCAAAAAGGCCTTAAGAAATTGTATTCAGATTGGCTTAAATAAATGAACACTCATATAGAACATAAAATATATAGTAATTAACCCAAATGCTTTTTGGTTCATGTGACTTAAGTAAATCTACAATAACTAACTGGTTTAAAAGTTATTGGTAAAATAAAAATAGGTCTGTGGGTTTGATGGAGAACCTCATGTGGCTATCAAACATCACTTGAGTCATGTGTCTAGAACACTATTTGGCACAGAGTAGACACTTTAGAAATCTTTGCTAAGACAGAGTCCTCACATAGCTGCAAGAAGCTTAGCCAACCTCTTTTCTAAACAAAAAATGCCAGCCGAGAGGCACTTGAGGAACAGGCACAGGGTGCTCAGCTCTGGGCTAATAGCATTGAATGTCCTGATTTTGACAATGTTCTGTGTTTACCTAAGTTCTCAGGCAACACAGGCTGCAGTATGGAAGTTGAAGGGGTCCAGAAGAAGCCATTGTGTCATTAATTATTTGGGCCCGAAGGCATTTGAGTTCCTGAAATCTCTTATCTGTCTAAAAGCAGAACCTACCAACAAAAAACTCAGTTGCCATAAATCCCCTCCCCGAGAGTGACTTAGATGGAGATGAGAAATTGTCACCTCACCCAAGTAGACATTGTCATCAAATTATCATATCTCCTATCTACTCTCCTAAAGGCCCATTTGTCTTTCAAAAAAATCATTTGTTTTTCCGTAAGTGCCCTTTCCCCAAACCCTTTCTAAGAAGTTATTGGTTCTCCCAGAAGTGTCCTCTGATCCTCCCCATCCCCAATTAAGATGGTATATAAGGGCTGGGCATGGGGGCTCACATCTGAATCCTAGGACTTTGGGAGACTGAGATGGGTGGGTTGGTTGAACTAAGCAGTTCGAGACCAGCTTGGGCAACATAGTGAAACTTTGTCTCTGCAAAAAATACAAAAATTAGCTGCCTGTGGTGGCGTGCACTTGAAGTCTCAGCTACTTGGGAGGTTGAGGTGGATGAATCACTTGAGCCCAAGATTGCACCATTGCACTCCAACCTGGGTGACGGAGTGAGACCCTGTCTCAAAAATAAATAAATAAAAGGTGTTATATTAGTCCAAAATTCTAATCATCTTCTTGAGTCACATTTCCTTGTGAATTCCCATGCCTACCAACATCATTCAATGTTTATTTTTCTTGCTAATCTGTCCTTTATCAGTTTAATTTGCAGGCCTCCAAGGAAAAAACCTAAGAGGGTAGAGGAATCATTTTTCATCTCTGACAAAATAAAGGGGCTTGATGTTTGAAGCTTACTTTCAAATGATTCAGAGAGAAAGATAATAGAGCAAATGTGGCAAAACATTAACAATTGATGAATCTGGGCAAAGGCTATAAGAAAGTTCTTTGTACTCTTCTTGAAACTTTTGTTTGAAATTATTTCAAAATAAAATTATGTCTAAAATAAAAAAAACAGAAATGTTTTCAGAATTGTCAGCATACATTTTTGCCTGGATTTACTGGTCAGTCAATTTTATATTTGTCTCTGTTAGATGTTATAAGATGTCAGGGTTTGACATAAAGGTGATAAAACTATGAACCTAGCCTAAAACAGAATGATCTTTGTGTAATTCTTTAATACATAAGACTAATTTAATATTGTTGGTGTAAGGAAAACAACTGTATCTTCTAAATTATTGACAAAATACCCATATATTTAACTTTAAGTTTCTTACTTAGGTGAGCAATTGATATTCATAGGCTATAAAAATGGTTAATGGGAAATAACTTGAAATGACGACTAGCTTGTCTAATATCTCAGTTTTCATATGTAATCTAGGTAAGCTGTTAAAAATTAAATAAATTAGATAAATGTAAATAGGATGAATACCTATAGCTTTTCATATAATTTAAAATATTAAAGTTATGTTAAATTAAATAATAGATACTCATTAACTGCCTGGGTCATTTCCAAATCAGATAAAAATAACTAAAATGAATTACTGAACATAAATATGTTTGTTCTTGGCTTCTTACATTTTACAAAAAGATTAAATTTCATTGTTGGACATTTGGGTTGGTTCCAAGTCTTTGCTATTGTGAATAGTGCCACAATAAACATACGTGTGCATGTGTCTTTATAGCAGCATGATTTATAATCCTTTGGGCATATACCCAGTAATGGGATGGCTGGGTCAAATGGTATTTCTAGTTCTAGATCCCTGAGGAATCACCACACTGACTTCCACAATGGTTGAACTAGTTTACAGTCCCACCAACAGTGTAAAAGTGTTCCTATTTCTCCACATCCTCTCCAGCACCTGTTGTTTCCTGACTTTGTAATGATCGCCATTCTAACTGGTGTGAGATGGTATCTCATTGATACACCGGGGCCTGTTGTAGGGTAGGGGGAGGGGGGAGGGATAGCATTAGGAGATATACCTAATGTTAAATGACAAGTTAATGGGTGCAGCACACCAACATGGCACATGTATACATATGTAACAAACCTGCACGTTGTGCACAAGTACCATAAAACTTAAAGTATAATGAAAAAAGATTAAATATATTTGCATCTATTAATACTCATAAAAATTATGCTATGGGAAAACATGTTTTTAAAATTTATGAAATGGTTCTCATCTATAAAATACTACCATGTGACAAATAGTTCTAAATTGCTTGCTAAAAATTAAGGTTCTCAAGTGTTAAAGCTCTAATTAATATATATAACTGTCTATATAAAATATGTCCCAAAAGATGTTTTTGATCACAAACACTATAAGAAGGGCATGAAATATGTTCTTTATTGAAAAAAATAATTATTTTTCAAATCTAGAGGTTATGTAAAAGTTGTTTCAAAATATGGATTTTTTAAAAAAAGAAACAAAATAGGAACCAGTAAGTAGGAAAGATGTGAAGAAAGTTATGGGTATAAAGATGTATTTTTGGTATGGAGGGTAAAAAAGAAAAGAAAATAAATTTATGATAAATTTTTGTTCTAATGTCAAATGACTGGTTATTTTAAAAAAGAGGAAGTATAGGACAAAGCAGAAAGTCCAAGCATGTTGTTGAGGTCTGAGTGTCATAAAAAGGTTCATGAAGAAAACTTTGTGTAAGGAATTGTGTGTGTGATTGAGTTGGCTTTAATTATAAAGGAATTATTTATGTCTTTCTAAAGACAGTTTTGATATTAAAAATACACTAATACAAAAATAAAACTTTGGTGCCTTATGTTAGAACAAGTTTTTTTTAATGTATTGATGTGCTGTTAGTAAGATTGCAAGAGGTTTTTAAATTCTAAAATGTGTTTTTTTTTTTTGAGATGGAGGCTTACTCACTGCCACCCAGGCTGGAGTGCAGTGGCACAATCTCGGCTCACTGCAACCTCTACCTCCTGGGTTCAAGTGATTCTCCTGCCTCAGCATCCTGAGTAGCTGGGATTACAAGCACCCATCACCACACCCAGCTAATTTTTATATTTTTAATAGAGATGGGTTTCACAATGTTGGCCAGGCTGGTCTTGAACTCCTGACTTCAAGTGATCTGCCTGCCTTGGCCTCCCAAAGTGCTGGGATTACAAGCGTGAGCCACCGTGCCTGGCCACTGAAATGTGTTTCTTTAACGGCCGTCTTCTAAACTGCAGTTTCTATTTCTGCCACATTTCCTGAGATCTTATTTGATTTCCCTAGTTTCAGGTTGGAAATGCTATCTTTTCCATTCAGAATGGTAATTTAGTTTTTCAAGGTAAATTTTTTCTTTTAGAGACTTCTCACATTCGTATCTCAGGGGTTCACCACTTGCTGTACCTTGCTGCACATGGTTTGCAGGGCATGCGTTATTGCCTTCATCTCTGCTTTCTCCCCTTAAAAGGCGTATCTTTTTGATTGGCTAGGGTGATAACTCTCACTTTCAAACTTTTTGTCAGTTTTTGTATCTTTTTCTCTGGTTCTAACTCTGCTATTATGGCCCGATGCTACATTTTTTAAAAAAATAGAGACAGAGTCTCTCTCTGTCGCCCAGGCTAGAATGCAACTCACTGTAACCTCAAACTCCTGAGCTCAAGCAATCCTCCCACCTCACCCTCCTCAGTAGCTAGGACTAGAGCGCTTTCCACCATGCCCAACTTGTGTTTTAAAAATATGTTGTGCTGGGCGCGGTGGCTCACGCCTGTAATCCCAGCACTTTGGGAGGCCGAGGCGGGCGGATCATGAGGTCAGCAGATCCAGACCATCCTGGTTAACACAGTGAAACCTTGTCTCTACTAAAAACATAAAAAATTAGCCAGGCATGGTGGCAGGCACCTATAGTTCCGGCTACTCGGGAGGCTGAGGCAGGAGAATGGCATGAACCTGGGAGTTGGAGCTTGCAGTGAGCTGAGATTGTGCCACTGCACTCCAGCCTGGGCGACAGAGCAAGACTCCGTCTCAAAAAAAAAATATATGTTGTAGAGATGGAGTCTCACTCCATATTGTCCAGGCTGGTCTCAAACTCCTGGCCTCAAGTGATCCTTCTGCTTTGGCCTCCCAAAACATTGGGATTATAGGCATGAGTCACTGTGCCCAGCCCTGAAATGTTTATACTGAAGGCCTAGAAAAACAATGTCTTCCTCCCATATAACTTGCTTCTGTACTGTTGGCTTTTCTTGTTGTGACTGAATTGTAATAATGAAACTTCCCATGTTGTTACTAAGAGCCATATATTCCCCTACTCAAGGTAAGTTTTCTTTTTTTCTTTTTTTTTTAATCTCACATTTAAATTTATTTTTTTATTTTTTATTATTTTTATTTTTTTATTATTATTATACTTTAAGTTTTAGGGTACATGTGCACAGTGTGCAGGTTAGTTACATATGTATACACGTGCCATGCTGGTGTGCTGCACCCATTAACTCGTCATTTAGCATTAGGTATATCTCCTAATACTATCCCTCCGCCCTCCCCCCACCCCACAACAGTCCCCAGAGTGTGATGTTCCCCTTCCTGTGTCCATGTGTTCTCATTGTTCAATTCCCATCTATGAGTGAGAACATGCGGTGTTTGGTTTTTTGTCCTTGTGATAGTTTACTGAGAATGATGATTTCCAATTTCATCCATGTCCCTACAAAGGACATAAACTCATCATTTTTTATGGCTGCATAGTATTCCATGGTGTATATGTGCCACATTTTCTTAATCCAGTCTATCATTGTTGGACATTTGGGTTGGTTCCAAGTCTTTGCTATTGTGAATAGTGCCACAATAAACATACGTGTGCATGTGTCTTTATAGCAGCATGATTTATAGTCCTTTGGGTATATACCCAGTAATGGGATGGCTGGGTCAAATGGTATTTCTAGTTCTAGATCCCTGAGGAATCGCCACACTGACTTCCACCATGGTTGAACTAGTTTACAGTCCCACCAACAGTGTAAAAGTGTTCCTATTTCTCCACATCCTCTCCAGCACCTGTTGTTTCCTGACTTTGTAATGATCGCCATTCTAACTGGTGTGAGATGGTATCTCATTGTGGTTTTGATATGCATTTCTCTGATGGCCAGTGATGATGAGCATTTTTTCATGTGTCTTTTGGCTGCATAAATGTCTTCTTTTGAGTAGTGTCTGTTCATATCCTTTGCCCACTTTTTGATGGGGTTGTTTGTTTTTTTCTTGTAAATTTGAGTTCATTGTAGATTCTGGATATTAGCCCTTTGTCAGATGAGTAGGTTGCGAAAATTTTCTCCCATTTTGTAGGTTGCCTGTTCACTCGGATGGTAGTTTCTTTTGCTGTGCAGAAGCTCTTTAGTTTAATTAGATCCCATTTGTCAATTTTGGCTGTTGTTGCCATTGCTTTTGGTGTTTTAGACATGAAGTCCTTGTCCATGCCTGTGTCCTGAATGGTAATATCTAGGTTTTCTTCTAGGGTTTTTATGGTTTTAGGTCTAACGTTTAAGTCTTTAATCCATCTTGAATTAATTTTTGTATAAGGTGTAAGGAAGGGATCCAGTTTCAGCTTTCTACATATGGCTAGCCAGTTTTCCCAGCACCATTTATTAAATAGGGAATCCTTTCCCCATTGCTTGTTTTTCTCAGCTTTGTCAAAGATCAGATAGTTGTAGATATGCGGTGTTATTTCTGAGGGCTCTGTTCTGTTCCATTGATCTATGTCTCTGTTTTGGTACCAGTACCATGCTGTTTTGGTTACTGTAGCCTTGTAGTATAGTTTGAAGTCAGGTAGCATGATGCCTCCAGCTTTGTTCTTTTGGCTTAGGATTGACTTGGTGATGCGGGCTCTTTTTTGGTTCCATATGAACTTTAAAGTAGTTTTTTCCAATTCTGTGAAAAAAGTCATTGGTAGCTTGATGGGGATGGCATTGAATCTATAAATTACCTTGGGCAGTATGGCCATTTTCACGATATTGATTCTTCCTACCCATGAGCATGGAATGTTCTTCCACTTGTTTGTATCCTCTTTTATTTCATTGAGCAGTGGTTTGTAGTTCTCCTTGAAGAGGTCGTTCACATCCCTTGTAAGTTGGATTCCTAAGTATTTTATTCTCTTTGAAGCAATCTTATTTATATTCCTGCACCCTAATTACTTAATCACCTTCTAAAGGGCCTACCCCTTAATACTATCACATTGGCATTAAGTTTTAATACATGTATTTTGGGAGACACATTCAGACTGTATCACAGACATTTTCTCAAAAATGAGTGAAGTGAGAGTTTCACTTCAAGGAAAATTGGCAATGTTTGTTTCCAATGATAAAATTTGAGCTCTTAAGAAAAAAATTGGGGTTTTGGTAAAACCTGCCACCATAGCCTGATGGCTTCCTAGTACTTAAGGACTTTTTCAGATGAGATCAGTGATAATATTAACAAAGAACATTACTTTCTGATATCATATGATAAAGTATGTCCACACTTGGAGGATTTGTGTAACTCAATAAACCAATTATTTCCTAAATGATCAATCCATGATGTTACAAAATTATGCATGGGTAAAAGATCTATTCCAAATACAAGACTAAATTTTCTTCATCTACTTCAACAAAAACAACATAATTTAATAGACTAAATGCAGGAGCAAATCTGATAATTCAGCTGTATTTAATTAAGCCAGATTTAAAGAGGTTGGCAAAAATCTCACTAAATTTTTTGGTTTTGAAAAATATAATTATTTTTCATAAAAATGTTATTTATCTTAACATGTAATAGGTATATTACTGGTATTTTCAAACTCATTAATATTTAAAAATTTCTCATTTCTACTTTCTAATATTACAATATTAGATATAACCCACCTAAATAAAAGCTCTTTGGGACTCTCAATAATTTTTAAGAATGTAAAAGATTCCTGAGATAAAAAAAGATTTGGAACTACTGTTTTAGGGAATAGCCACAGGAGTGGAATTGCTGGGTCATGAGTGTAGATATGTTGAAATTGCTCTTTGAATGTTGATAATTTACATTCCCACTTATAGAATAGGAGAGCTTTATTTTTCCATTTTCTCACCAGAATTTTGTTTGTCCGACTATAAAATGTTTGCCAATTGTATGTGTGGGAAATAATACCTTGTTTAACGTATGCCTCCCTGATTGCTGGTGAGCTTAGCATCATTACACATATTTATTCAACTTTTGGTTGTCTTCTTCAATGAATTAACTATTCATATTGTTTGGTGATTCACCGTTCCTCACATTCCATTAGGTTGCCTTTTTTTTTCTTTCTGGAAAAGAATTTCTTAGGAGTTCTTTATATTTTTTTCATTTATAATGATTTGTCAATTATATGTTGCAAATATTTTCTCTCAGACGGCAGCTCGTCTTTTAATTTATTATATTTTTTGTTGAACTGACATTTTTATTTCAAATCGATCTGACATGAATCTTTTCTTTTTGATTTTATGTTTTTTATCTTGTCTAAGAAATTCTTTTCTACTCCAAGTCCACATATGTTTATTTCTATATTTTCTTCTAAAACTTTTAGGAGTTTTGCTTTTCCCATTTAGATCTGTAATCGTCTTGAATTGAACTTAGTATTTAGTGTGAGCTGTGGGTTGACATCCTTCCAGTTATAATCAATTATCCCCGTACCTTTTAGTAACTTGTTTATCCTTCCCTCATAGAGTTGTGCTGCCACCTCTACAATAATCCGGTTTCTACATAGGCATGTTTCTCTACCTAGGCTCTCTATTCTTTTCCATAAGATCACTTGTCTGTTCCTACACAAATATCCAAGTTTCCTAATCATTATGGTTTTTTAATAATTCTTGATATATGGTAAGGAAGTCTCCCAACTTTGTTAGCCTTCAACACTCTCTTGCCTATTTTAGGCCTTTCAGTTTTCTCTAGAAACAAATCTAAGCATCTTCCATAGTGTTCCATGATAAACCTTGCTTGGGACTTTAATTTTGAATTTATAGATTTATTTGGAGGAAAATAGAAATAACTGATGTGTTTAACTTTGAAATCCTTCAGGTTTCTTTTTTTTTTTTTTTTTGAGATGGAATTTTGCTCTGTCGCCCTTGCTGGAGTGCAGTGGTGAGATCTCGGCTCATTGCAACCTCCGCCTCCCAGGTTCAAGCAATTCTCCTGCCTCAGCCTCCCCAGTAGATGAGATTACAGGCGCCCGCCACCACGCCCGGCGAATTTTTGTATTTTTAGTAGAGATGGGGTTTTACCATGTTGGCCAAGCTGGCCTTGAACTCCCAACCTCAGGGGATCCACCCACCTTGGCCTCCCAAAGTGCTGGGATTACTGGTGTGAGCCACCAAGCCTGGCTGATAATCATATCACCTGTGAATAAACTTGATACAGTTTATTGCTTTACTAAGAATCTGCGACCTCTAGCATAATGGTGGATGGAAGTGGTGATAACCACGTTTGTATCATTTTTGATTTTGGTAGAAATGTGTATTAAAGTCTTACCATTAGGTATAATGCTCGTGTAACTTCCCAGTAAAGTGTATCTGCTAGAAAGACAACTTACTTATTTTTAGTTTGCTAAGCATGTTTGTCAACAATTATTGACAATTGGTTGAATTGTGTTACTTTTCTTTGTTTGCATCTATTGAAATGATGAGTTTTAAAAAACTCTTAATATGGTGTATATTTAAAAGTTAATAATTATTTTATACACTGCTGGAATTAATTTTTCTGATTTTTTGGGGGGTCTTTCCGTTTATGCTTACTAAAATGATTGCTGCATAACTTTCTTTTCTTATACTGACTTACCCAGTTTTGATATTCTCATTTTATTAACTTCATAAAATAAATTGGATAATTTCTCTCGTTTTCTGTTTTCAGAATCTACTGGATGATAAAAGTTTTGTTTGTTTCTTTGTTTCTTAAAGGTTAGGGAAATTCTCTTATATTTTGGCTCCAGAGTCTTGATTTGAGGAACTTTTTATTACCAATGCAGTTTCTTCCATGATTATTTGTTTTTTCACCTTTTCTGTTCCTTCTGGGGTCAACTTTAGACATTTAAAATTTTCTAGAAATGTGTCTTTTTTTTAAGTATCAAATTTATTTCATAACGTTTATAGTGCTCTCCTATAATATTTAACATCTACTCTGTATTTTTGTCTCCTTTTTGTATTACCTTCATCTTCTATTTTTGATCCAACTTGCTAGCAATCTGTCTGCTTATTAGCTTTTCAAAGAATCAGCTTTGGAATTTATGTTATCCTTTGTATAAATTGTTTCTGTTTCTTTAATTGTTACAGTCTTATTATTTTCTAGCTTTTATATCTTTAGATTTACTTTTCAGTTATTTTTCTAGCTTCTTGGGTTTAGTTTAATCTTTCTGTTTTCTAGTAAATGAATTTAATGCTATTGAATTTATTTTTAAATAGTAAATTAGCTTTGTCCATGTTTTAATATGTAGTAATTTTTTATCAATTCAGACTTTATATAAAAATTCATTTTAAGGTATACAAACACGTACTTTAGTTATGTTTTTGTCACTTTGCAACATTGACTTCTAATTTAATTATATGGCTATCAGTGGGGTTTATATGTATGACTTAAGTTCTTTCAAATCCCGGTATCATGTTAATATTGGTAAGTGTTCTATATGTTTATAAAAAGATAATATAGTCTTTGGGTGTAGAAATCTCTTTATAGTTATGAGATCAAGCTCGTTAATTCTGCTGTGCCAAACTTCTACATTCTAACTGGTACTGATTCCCCCCTATGATTATACATTCATCAGTATTTCCATGTAATTTCACCAATTTTTCTTTATATATTTTAAAGAAATGATAAGTACAATAATTTCATGTTTATTATATTTATGTTGAATTATGTCTGTTGTTACTATACACTATCCCTATGTATTTGTATGAATGTCTTTTGGACTTTAGATCTATTTGTGTGATATTAACATTGCTATGTCAACTTTATTTTGTCTAGTATTTGAGGGGTATACATATTTTTTTTTTATTATTATACTTCAAGTTCTGGGATACATGTGCAGAACGTGCAGGTTTGTTACATAGGTATACAGGTGCCATGGTGGCTTGTTGCATCCATCAGCCCGTCATCTAGGTTTTAAGTCCCGCATACATTAGGTATTTGTCCTAATGCTCTTCCTCCCCTTGCCTCCCACCCCCAACAGGCCCTGGTGTGTGATGTTCCCTTCCCTGTGTCCATGTGTTCTCATTGCCCAACTCCCACTTATGAGTGAGAACATGTAGTGTTTGAGGGGTATATATTTTTATAGTCCCTCATTTTTATTTTTCCGTGTGGTTTTGCTCTAGATATATCTCTTAGAAGCAGTATATTATCAGAGTTTTAAAAAAATCTATAGAATATTGTCTTTGATTGATGAGCTTAATTCATGTACAACCTTTATGATTACTTGTGTATTCAAATTTATTTATACCATCTTATTTTGTGTTTCCTGTTCACTATCTTTTTTCTTTGCCTCCCTTCTCCTTTTCCTACCTTTTTTTTGTATTAATACAGTTTTTAATATTTCTTTTGCTTCAGATTATTTGAAAGTTGCAAAGTACATTTCTGGTGTTTAGTGATTACTCTTAATCTTACAGGTACTTGCTTAACCATAGGCTGCAGTTATTCTTTATTTCCTTCTGCCAATTACAATAACAGGCTCAACACATGTAGAGTGATTAGTTGTTATTTCTATGGCTACTATTGAATTGAATTATTAACTTTTTAGCAAAGTTTTATACTACATTTTCAACATTTGCTTTTTTTCTTGCTGAATCCCTTTCCCTCTTTCTTCTTTCTTTCTTTCTTTCTTTCTTTCTTTCTTTCTTTCTTTCTTTCTTTCTTCCTTCCTTTCTTTCTTTCTTTCCTTCCTTCCTTCCTTCCTTCCTTCCTTCCTTCCTTCCTTCCTTCCTTCCTTCCTTCTTTTATTTCTTTCCTTTCACAGGGTCTCAAGCAATCCTCCCACCTCAGCCTCCCAAAGTGCTGGGATTACAGGCATGAGACACTATGCCCAGCCTCTTTCTTTCTTTCTATTTTTTTAAACAATGTTCTTGGATGGTACATTCCCCTAGTCTTCATATGTCTAGAAATGTCTTTATGTTGTTTTTACTCTTTTTTGTAATTAATTTTAATTTTCTTATGTTTGTAGAGGTGGAGGTCTTACTATCTTGCCCAGGCTGGTCTTGAACTCCCGGCCTCAAGCAATCCTCCTGTTTTGTCCTCTCAAAGTGCTGGGATTACAGGTGTGGGCCACCGCACCCAGCTGTCTTTACTTTTAAATGATAATTTGGATGATGTCTTGGTCCATTTGTACTGTTATAATAGAATAGTACAGAGTGGGTAATTTATACAGAACAGAAATTTGTTTCTTACAGTTCTGGAAGCTGGGAAGTCCAAGATCAAAGTACCAGTAGGTTCAGTTGCCTGGTGAGGGCTGCATCCTGAGGCGGGGAGAAACAGGGTCTCACATGGCTAAAGGCGAAAGGGCAAGAAAGCCGAACGTTGCCTGAAGCCTCTTTGATTAGGGCCTTAATAACATTCAGGAGGGAAGAATCCTCATGGCCTAATCACCTCTTAAAGGCCCCACCTCTTACTACCATCACAGTGGCAACACCTGGACTTTGGAGGCAACACATTTACCATAGCAGATGAGTATCAGTTCTCTTGGTTGTCAGTTATTTTGCCCTCAGCATATTGAAGACATTAATTCACTGTCTTTATACTTTTAGAAAAAAGATGCTAATTTATTTCTTTAGCTAAGTAACTAAGTTTGACAATTTTGGACACTAAAATAGGTTGGATTTGCAAGGTAAGCCCTGCTGAGGTCCACAGTGTCTCCTCACCAGCGTGTCTGTGGCACCTCGTCAATGGATTTTCCGTCAAGTATCAAGGTGAGTTGTCACAGAAATGTTTGTGACTCAAAGAATTTGTCATGTATTTGCTTAACATTTTTCAAAATAAGCTTCCATATTAAAATATTGAAAATATTGCCCATATATGAATTGGATATCTCTACATGTGGATAAGAAGAGGAAATAGAAACTGAAACAAGACATGAAGAAATACCTTTGTTAGCAGAATTGTGTTATAGGGAAAAACACTCAGCCAGGGCTTAGAGTTACTAACTTCCAACTCTGGTTCTACCTGTGTGGGCCTGGGTACCGCACTGAACATGTCTTTCTCTGTGTCTCTCTGACTTTTCTTCATTCATAAAATGAAAGTTCTGGACCAGATTAGTGGCTTTCAAACTGTGTTCGTGGAGTCAAGTTGGGTACTGTTGAACTAGTTGGGGCCAAGTGGATGAGCTCTGGGTCTTCCATTAATTAATTAATTAAGACAAAGTCTTGCTCTGTTGCCCAGGCTGGAGTGCAGGGGTGTTATCTCGGCTCACTGCAACTTTCGCCTCCTGGGTTCAAGTGATTCTCCTGGCTCAGCCTCCTGAGTAGCTGGGATTACAGGCACCAGCCAGCACACCAGGCTAAGTTTTGTATTTTTAGTAAAGACAGGGTATCACCATGTTGCCCAGGCTGGTTTCGAACTCCTGGCTTCAAGTGATCCACCCACCTGGGCCTCCCAAAATTCTGGGATTACAGTCATGAGCCTCCACACCCAGCCTGGGCCTTCAGTTCTCAACTGGGCCGTTTTCTTTTTCATTAACGAACCTATCATGGTTTTCTGCATAAGATTTCTTCTGAAAAACATATGTTTGTAGCTAAAATAATGAAAACACTAAACTATGTAATCTGAAAGCCCAGTTTGAGCACCACGACAGTTTTTAGGCAGGTGCCTAAGCAAGATCACTTACTAATCATCCATGTTATCAATTACTGCTTGTCTTAGTCAAAGAAAAACTCCAGTTTTTAACTTTAATTCACCTGCAGAGTTTCCAAGCTCTGTAAAGCAATTATTGTGTCAGTATTTCTAGCATTTCACACTCTGCAGCAGGCTCAGCGTGGCAGGCTTCAAGACACTTTGGTCAGGTGTTATTGGAGCCACAGTCACAGCCCTTACCAGAAATTTCTGGCTCCCACCTCCACACAGAGTTCAGCGGCACCCACTCATTTCAGAAGTCTTTCTTTTTCCAGCACGTTGTCCCCAGGGCCTTGACGTTCTACCCCTTTTTAAAACTATGTGGTCAGAAATAGAGGCACTAAAATATGATCTCAGGGAAACCATGGCTTTTCCTTTCCCTTCATCCCTTTCTTGTCCTCGCCTTTTTTTTTTTTTTTTAAAGACAGTTTTACCTGAATGACTGTTATAGACACAGGGGATTTATCTACATCCATTATGACTCATAGAGTTTAAGCATCCAGTTAAATCTCTCTAGGCTTCAGTTCCTAGGGTTTTCCAAATTTCTGCTGACAACTCTTTCATATATAGACTTTTTTTCTTAAAAAAGGATTCAACTTTTTAATCATTCTTAACACACAGTTTTTAAACACAATGCTTTTTCATACCCAGAAAGCAGATCTTTATTCTATTCTGGATGATTTAACCTGCACCTTCTATTTGTACAACTCACTTGCAAGTTGCTGCCACCTGGACGGAGGAGTTGAATGAGAAGTCATAATATAAGTCAAGGGGTGCCAGGGAGCTTCTTTTGCTGGTGTGCACATTTAAAATAAAATCTTTCTACTTCTAAGAATTCAGAAACTGTCTAAATACCGATTTCATTGATTAGAAACCCTACAAAGTCTATACAGATATAATCCATGTGTATTATAAATAATGTATTTCTTTGTCATATAAATGGATTGGTATTTATAATCTAGCCATTGAAAATTCCAAATAATAAAATTTCATTTGTGCAACTAACTTTTATTTAAATAAGTAACATGTTATGTAACAGGCATGCCATTTTTCATGGTGTTCCATTTCTCTGGTTTGTTTTATGTTTACTTTAAATAGTCAAGTTCTTAACTTTTCTGGGTTAATTCTTTCCTTCCTCACTAATTGATTATGTTCCAATTTACTCCATTTGTGTGTGTATGTGTGTGTGTGTGTGTGTGTGTTTTGTTTTTGTTTTTGTTTTTTTTTTGAGACGTCTTGCTCTGTCGCCCAGGCTGGAGTGTAGTGGCGTGATCTTGGCTCACTGCAACCTCTGCCTCCCGGGTTCAAGTGATTCTCATGCTACAGCCTCCCCAGTAGCTAGGATTATAAGTGCACACCACCATGTCTGGCTAATTTTTGTATTTTTAGTAGAGACGGGGTTTCACCATGTTGGCCTGGCTGGTCTTGAACTCCTGACCTCAAGTGATCTGCTCACCTCGGCCTCCCAAAGTGCTGGGATTACAGGCGTGAGTCACCGCACCCAGCCCATTTGTGGTTTCTATATTGTCTCTTACTATGGGATATATTGAATTTAGGTGACTTTCTTTAAACTTACTTTATCATAATCTGATGCTGGGATAAGCTATCTGTCTTGTCAGATCCAAGATGTCACTGCAGTCCATCAGGAATGCAATGCAATAAAAAGGTGCAGTTTTTTAAATGCAATCAAGGAATATTCCTCCTGTTGTTTGCAGAAAGAAATATAGGAGAAAAGCAAGTAGACCCTCTAAATGTAGTCTAATTATACCTTCCTATTAGTGTTATTGCTGTGGTCTAGCCTACATACACAGCTTGTTTTTCTGTTTGGGTCTCTATTTTGGAAATTCTTTTTAAATAATGCTTAATTTTAGAGAGAGTATAGAACTAGCAGCAGGTGATAAAAATGTATATTTGGTTTCTTACATGAAAAGGGAAAGAATAAGATCTGATTTTGGATTATAATTTTAAACTTGAATTTTAGTTTAAATCTAAATTGATAACCCTCCCCAAAGGTGGCAGCTAGAATCATTAATAGCATAAGTACTATTCAAATACTAGTGTAGAGTCAGTTCTTTAGTTATCTGTGTAAACTCTTATGTTGTCATTTCCTTAAACCAGTTAATCAATGAATGTAAATTAATTTTGATATTATTCAAATCAGAACCTAAATTTGGAGAAAGCCCAAATATGCTGTAAATACTTTCTGCCCACAGGTGTTTTGGGTAACACTCATTCTTTTACTGGCCTCATTTGGCCTAACTGTGGGGAATGGGTCTCCTGCAACATCCTTTTGGGAAGGCAATTTTTCAATACACCTCAAAAATCCTTGAAATTCATATATTTTGAACTACTTCATGGAATTTATCAAAAGGCATTACACAATATTTATGTTTAAGAATGTCATTACAGAGTCATTTAACATAGCAATAAAATAGAAATAAATTGAAAAAGTACCCTTTGCTCAAAAAATAAGACAATGATGAAATAAATTTAGATTATTATCATGGAATAATAAGTCTCCATTAAAATCCTGATACTTATATAGTATTAATTAAAAGTAGTGGAAGTCTAAGTTGTACAGAATGCGATCCTATGGGGAAAAAAACACTATCTCTCTCTCTCTGTATGCATGGGAAGAAGACTGGAATAACAGTAGTTCCTTAGGGTGGCAGGATTTACTGAAAAAAATTATCGAGCATGAGGAGCAGTACAGTGTAATGATAAAGAGCATGGAGTTCGCAGCCAAACTGTGTGGCTTCAACTCCAGGCTCAACCATTCATTATGAATAAGACCTTGGACAAATTATTTAATTCTCTGTGCCTCAGTTTTCTCACCTGTAAGGTGGGAATTAATGTCATTTACACTATGAGGCTGTTTTGAGGGTTAAATGAGTTACTGTGTTTGAAGTCTTTAAAATCTGCTTGGTGCATAAGAAATGCTACATAAATTTTATCACTATTATTATTTTTATGTGTTCAGCATGGTGCTAAGTGCTGGGTATACATTGATAATGGAAAAGGCAAGGCCTCGTTTGTAGAAAACTCATAGTCTGGAGGGGGAAACAAATATTCCCCAAATAATCACATAGATCAATAATGAAAAAGCATGATCAACGCTGTAAAGAAAAACAATATGGTGTTTTTAGACAGAATAATTGGGGGAGAACCTAGTTAGACTGTAGAGTCAAAGCATGCCTCCAGGCAGAAGTGGCATTCAATCTAGGATTTGAAATGTGAATCACGTTGGATGAGGAGAGGAGCAGCACGTCTGTGAAAGCCCTGAGAGGCTAAGAGCTGGGTGCAGGGTAGGTGGGGCGGGGCTAGGGTGCTGGAGTCCAGAGATCCAAGGGTTCAGAGAAAGGGGAACTGTAGGACAGGCCTGATAGAGGGGAGAGGGTGTCTGGTGGCATTTATCCCAGGGCCACAGGGAGCCTCTGGAGGAGTCTCAGCAAGGGAGGGATGTGGCCTGATTTCCTTTTGAGGATCACTCCAGTTCTGGAGTCCATGTGGCCTTGGAGATGAGGGTGAGGGGATGTGGAGTTGGAAGGAGGCATTGGGCTGGGAAGGGCGGGAGGTAGAGGCAATGGAGGTGAGGTGGCTCAGGGTGGTGACAGTGGTGATGCCAGAAGAGAACAGATGCCAGACATTTTGGAAGAAGAAGCAGTAAGACTTGGAGATGTGAAATCAGGGGGAGGAGAGGGCTCAGGCTGGTGTCCACACTTTTCTCTTGAGTCGGTGGGTAGCTGGAGGCCCCATTTGTGCTCCTTGGGAGGAGAGGAGTGGGTCAGGGGGCACAGTTTCTTCCCTTAATTTGTCTATTATATTCCATATTTTCTTCAATAAACAAGTAAAGACAGTATTTAGTTTTAAAAGTATTTAGATGTAGGCCAACTTAAAATTATTTGCTGACAAAAGTACAGGTAACAGAGCAGGAAACAAAATGCAGCAAGGAAAGAGGTATCAAAGAATGCATGTAATTTGCTGGGATTGCACTTTTTGGTGTTTATGGAATAGACTATTTTTTGAAAAAAAAAATCAGATCATATAATGTAGTCTGATGGGTAGCCTGTTTTTAAATCCCTGTAAAATATATCAAGGGCATTTTCTCACATCACTAATTATCCTTAAAAATGTATTTAAAATGTTTGTTATTGATACATAATATTTTTACATATTTACAGGATACAAGTGATATTTTGATACATGCATACAATGTGTAATGACCAAATAAGGGTATTGAAAATATCCATAACCTCAAACATTTATTATTTATTTTGTTGGAAACTTTTCAAATCTTCTAGCTACGATGAAGTATACAATACATTGTTGTCACCTGTGGTCACTGTTGTGCTACTGAACACTAGAACTTATTCCTACCTTCTAACTATATGCTTGTACCCATTAAGCAACCCCTCTTCATTCCTTCCCCACAACATTTTCTAGCCTCTGATATCTATCTTTGGACTCTCTACTCCATAAGATACACTTTTTTAGCTCTCATATATGAATGAGAACGTGTGACATTTGTTTTTCGGTACCTGGCTTATTTCACTTAACATAGTGACCTCCAATTCCATCCATGTTGCAGGAAATGACAGTATTTCATTTTTTTATGGTTGAATAATATTTCATTGTCTATATATACCCCTTTTCTTTATCCGTTCATCTATTTATGAACACTTGGTTTATTCCATATCTCAGCTATGGTGAATAATGCTGCGACAAACATAGGGGTGCAAGTACCATTTTGATATACTGATTTTCTTTCCTTTGGATAAATACCCAGTAGTGGGATTGTTGGATTGTATGGTATTTCTATTTTTAGTTTGTGGAGAAATCTCCATATTACTTTCCATAATGGCGGTACTAATTTATATTCCCACCAACAGTGTATGAGTTCTCTTTTCTCTGCATCCTCACTAGCATTTATTATTTTTTGTCTCTTTGATACTAGACATTCTAACTGGAATGAGATGATATTTCATTGTGGGTTTGATTTATATTTCCCTGATGATTAGTGATGCCGAGCATTTTCCTATATACCTGTTGGCCATTTGTGTGTCTTGTTTTGAGAAATGTCTATTCATGTCCTTAGCCCACTTTTTAATGGGATTACTTGTTTATTTTACTGTTAAGTTGTTTGAGTTCCTTGTATATTTTGGATATTAGCCCCTTGTTGGGTGAATAGTTTGCAAATATTTTCTCTCATTCTGTAGGTTGTCTCTTCATTCTGTGGATCGCTTCCTTTGCTGTGCAGAAGCTTTTTAGTTTAATATAGTCCCATTTGTCTATTTTTGTTTTTGTTGTCTGTTTTTGAGGTTTTAGTAAAAAAATCTTTGCCTAGGCCAAGGTCCTGAAGCCTTTCCCCTGTTCTCTCCTACTAGTTTTATAGTTTTAGGTCTTAACATTTAAGTCTTTGAATCCATTTTGCATTGATTTTTATATATGGTCAGAGATAGGGGTTTAGTTTTATTCTTCTGCATATGGATTTCCAGTTTTCCCAGCACCGTTTATTAAAGAGGGTACCCTTTCCCTAGTGTATATTCTTGGCACCTTTGTCAATGATCAGTTGGCTGTAAATATGTAGATTTACTTCTGGGTTCTCTATTCCATTTCATTGGTCTACATGTTCTTATACCAATACCATTCTATTTTGGTGTAAAACATAGTTTTAATAGCTGTATAGTATCTTGTTTTGTGGATATGCAACATTTTATTTAATTAATTATTAGTCACTTAGATTATTTTCATTTTCCCTCTATTATAGAGTCCAATGACTTCTATTAGAGTTTTTTCTTTGAATGCATAAGTAATAACTTACTTAAGGTGGATTCTTGGAAATGGAATTGTTCCTCTGAAAGTTCTTAGTATTTTTTTTGTTCCTGCTACCTCTTGGCCTATTCTTTAACTTCTTTGAGTGACACTTTGCTTTGTGTTACCTTCCCCTCCTCCTTTCTCTCTTTCTTTCTCCTTTTCATTTTTCTTCTCCTCATTTTTCTTAACCTGTCGATTCTTAGGCCATTAGGGAGTTTAATCCATTCAAATTATTATTATATGTAATGCATTTGGTTTTCTATTATTCTGTGCTTCTTTGACTTTTATATTTTGGACACAAGCTATATTTTCTTTCTTCCAAAGTTTGTGAGTGTTCCTGTTTTTCCAGCCTGGCATCATGCTATGCACGCAGTAAACATCATGGAAAAACAAATGCATTCTGTTGTTCATAATTCTACTAGTATTTGCTGTTTTCATTCAAGTTTTTCAGAAGCATTATCCAGCAGGTTTCTGCAAGTATGATGGTCAATGCTGAAATACCCTCTTTTCTCTTACCTCCATTAGCTTTTGTTCCATTTATTTTATTATACTGTAAACATTAAGATTCCTCTTACTGGTATTATTCTTTACTGTACATAGAAGACTCTTTTATTTGTACTGTTAGTGCAAAAATAATTTTCTAAAATTTTTCACGAGCCTGCAGTAGATCATTTGCAAAGTATTGCTCTTCTGCTGAGTGTCTCGGGTGTGGGTCCTTCTCCTTTGTTCTGCATGTTGATGTTTTTCCCTCTTTATTCATCCCCAGACTGTGTCCAGGCCCTGTTTGTGTCCACAGATGGGGCCTGGGTGGTCCTTCATCTCTTCTCTGCTTTCATGAGATATTTAATATTTGAATCCTCCTTTCAGGACTGCAACAAGGGGATGCCTGTGCACGTCTGTGTCTGATGTATATGGACAGCAGTCTACTGCCCAGACACCTCTGCTCTACACAGGGCAATTGCTCTCCTCCATTTTATTCCTGCTCTTAGGTATACCAAGAAAACCTAGCAGATAACAGCAGTAATTGTCAGTGTGCACAATCAAGCCATATTTTGTTATATGCCCTTACCTACAGGATTTGACAGTTGAGATATCACCTACCAGACAACATTGTATCACAGTATACTCTCTTCTACTCAGTGGTTTTCTGTGAATATCAGTAATTGATTATAGGATCACAGAAAGAATGGAGTGTGTGTGTGTGTATGCGTGTGTGTGTGGTGTATAAGATGGTGGGGTGGGGGAAGAAAGAAAGAACGGGAAAGAGAGGTGCTGTGGTTCAACCACCTTCAAAGGTATCAGTGTGAATTACTAGAGTTTAGAAACCTGGGACAGTGAGATAAGGGGGGAAAGGAAGGGCCATTTACCATATAAAAATCTGTTACCTCTATAGCCACATCCATAGCATATCACAGCAACAAATATTTACTTAAATTTATTCAATTTTTTTCTTTAAGAAAGGTTTAATTATATTTTATTTAATCTTTAATTAGCAGGCAAATTTAAGGTTCATTTTGGAAGGATCTCTTGAACAGTGTTAAAATGAAATACTTTAGCATTTAATGAGTTAGTTCTCAGGTCTCCTTAATGACTAATTTCTCAGTCTTCTGATGGCTGAGATTGAAGGGCAATACAATGATTTCTTTCTTAGGCTTTCTGCAGCATCATTCCTTTGCCAGAACGTGAATAATTGTTTGGATGCTAGGGTGTATGGTTTTGAGGACCAAGTTTAGATGTCCACTGGCAGGAAGAGCCATTCCATAAAGCACCTCATCCATAAGAAATCACCGTAGTTATCTTAGCTGCTTCCTTTAAACATAATGTGTTAGTTTCTGTGGCTGCTGTAAAAGAAGACCACACACTGGGTGGCCTAAAAGAAGAGAAGTTTATTCTTTCACAGTTCTAGAGGCCAGAAGTCTGAAATCGAGATGTTGGCAGGGCCACACTCGCCCCAGGAGCATGAAGGGAGAATCAACTCTTGGCCTCATCTAGCGTCTGTGGCGGCTGACATGCCTTGGCTTGGGGCTGCAGCCCTCCCATCGGTGCTCCATGGTCACACGGCCTCCACGTCTTCTGTCTCTGGGTAATCTCCCTCTGCCTCACTCTCCTAAGGATGTCTGTGACTGGATTTCGGGTCCACTCAGATTACACAGGATGATATTGTAAGATCCGTTACTTAATTATACCTGCAAAGACTCTTTTTCCAAATAAGGTCATATCTATAGTTTCCAAATATTAGGATGTGGGTATATATTTTTTTGAGGACACCATTTCATGCACTACTCACAATTTTTGAAGACATTTTATGAAGAACAATTAACTTTGTATAATGAAATCCCACAACAGTCTTTTATTGAGCACTTTTTTTTTTGAGATGGAGTCTTGCTCTTGTTGCCCAGGCTGGAGTACAATGGCGTGATCTCAGCTCACTACAACCTCCACCTCCTGGGTTCAAGTGATTCTCCTGCCTCAGCCTCCTGGGTAGTTGGGAGTACAGGTGCCCGCCACCATGCCAGCTAATTTTTATATTTTTAGTAGAGATGGGATTTTGCCATGTTGGCCAGGCTGTTCTCAAACTCCTGACCTCGTGATCTGCCCGCCTTGGCCTCCCAAAGTGCTGGGATTACAGGTGTGAGCCACTGTGCCTTGTCTGAGCAAATTTTAAAGCAAAACCAAGGCTTGGATGTTCATGAGAATGGAGATAAAGGTTACATGTAAATTGACCTTTTTTTTTTTTTTTTTTGCCGATGTTTAAATAAAGCCAGCAAGCATTTTGATCCACTAATCTCTTGTGACAGTGAGTGAGTTAGTTATTAATTATTTTTTTTCCAGCCTCTTCTTCAGCAGGGGTGCCTGGCTAAAATGCAGGCGGCAAGACAGCATGGGGCTGCAAACTTTGACAGTCTGTCCCTTGAGTGAGAGCTCCTTGTACGTGTAGGAGGAGATGAAATTGCAAGGCATTGGCCATGGAGAAAAGGCGATGTCTCTATTTTTGACAGGAGAAGTTAAAAGCAGAGGGGATGGAAGCCATGGGGCCAGAGCTAGACTTCTAGGGATGTCAGAAAGATGGAGAGATGATAGGGAGGTGGCTAGAAAGAAAAGAGGTTCTTAAAGATCTTAAGATCCTACTTAGATGGCCATCCCAGGTAGCTCGGTGAGGGAAGTTGACAAGTCAGGAATATTTCATATTTCTTGGTATCTCTGTCCCCCAAGCCCCAGGAAGCAGGGTATAGGTGGTGCTCAAGTGGAAGAACCTGCATTTGAAAGTACCCTTCTCTAGGGACCTCACAGTAATTGTTGATTTTTAAAAGCATTTATCTTGCAGAGTTAGCTATTGTTTTATTTTCATCTTGTGAGACCTCAGCTCACATATACCAGGATGACATAGGAAATTAATTTGAAAGTCTCCTGGCTTGAAGGGGGACATTTTTCACCATCTCATGGCCTGATCCATCTCAGCAACCATGACTCTGGCCCTTGGGGTTCCTGAAAGTCAGGCTCACTGAAGGTCAGCCCCAGAAATGAGAGCTGCATGGAAGAAGACCTAACATATTTAGACCAGAAAAGGTGCCTTATTTTTTTTAAACTTGCACAACCCACATTGTCTTCCTTGGTTGCTGTTAAAGAAGAGGAGAGGCAGAACCCCACATTTCTTAGGCACTTCTGTGTGCCAGTCACTTTGCCTACTTGATCTCACTCTTCTTAAGTGATAAAAATATTACGACTGCAATTTTGAGAAGGAAAGAAAAGTTCCTGAGAGGTCAAGTCACATGACTGAGGTCACCCAGTGAGGGCTGAGACTGGGGTTTGAGGCTGAGGCAGGGGGCACTTCCTCCTTCCTCTCCACGTGTCTCTCCATGGCCTGCTGGCTTTACTTTTTCCCGTTAGCTTCTTTCACCCACCCCGCTGCTGACTCTGCTCCAGCCACACTGGTTGTTTTTGTCTGTTTCTTGAACCTACCAGGCTAGTTCCGGTCTTCATTTCCCTGCTGTCCTTCTTTCTGGAGTGTTTTTTTCCTCCAATTGTGGCATCTGATTTTTTTTTTTTTTTCCCCTCATTTTCTGGCTCTCAGTCCAATGTCATCTACTCAGTGGATCCTTCCCTGACCACTCTGTCTGAAGCTGCCATCACCTCCAGTTATCTCGCCCCGTTTCATTTCTTCACAGCTCAAAACACTTGTCTGGGGTCTGTTCACCCACTAGAATATAAACCCCATAACAGCCTCCCTTGTTCACTATGGCGTTTCCTGGCCTGGCTTGTGGCAAGCCCTCATTATACATTTGTTGAATGAACGAACGAACAAATCGATGAATGAATATATTACCTTCCCAGTGATATTTGCGAGACATTTTGGCACTATTTCCCTCTGTGGTCAATGTAGGCCAATTTTAAGGTGAATTGTGAGGCTGTTTTTTGGACCTGACAAGTTGTCTCACAACATAGCCTATGCAGTGTCAAGGCAAAACAGAAGAATAAGTATAATAAATTAAAAAAAATGAGATTGGACAATATAGATAACCAACCCTTGGTTTTCGGATTTTTTTTTCTGTCTGAATTGGTGCAACCTTTAGCACTAGGCTAAAGAAACCACACAGAATACAGAGACCTGTCTCAGGTAATAGAGGTATGAGAGAGAATAATCTGTTGGTCTTAGTTGACTGTTAGCTCAGCAGCAATTAACCGTGGAACCCAGGTGTTGGTATTAAGGGTTATAACCCATTCATGACTCTCAGCATGAAAGTGAGAGAAATGTCCAAAACTGAACTCATTATCTTCCCCCTGAAAATGTTGCTTGTCCAATATTCCCAATCTTAGCGATGGCACCTGACTAGTATTTTGCCTAAGCCATATTCTATGGGAGGCAGGTCATGTTAGATTCCTCCCTTTCCCTTCAAATAGAAAAGTATTGAAGTGCTGTTGAGGCCACTTCTCTGCTTATCTTTTCAGCTCTATCTCTTGTTAGAAACCACATTATCCTCCTCCCACCTGTCAGTCTCATGGTCGCACTAAACAACGTTGCAGATTTCATAGTGCATTGCACTGTTTCAGAATTCTATGCCTTTGCTTATGCTGCATTGAGAATGTCTTCTCTTTCTGTCTGCCCCTCAACGCACTCTCAGTTTTCAATACTCAAATCAAGTGTCATCTTCCTGTTGAAACCTTTCCTGTTTCTTTTCGCTGATAGAATTAGCCACTCTTATCTATGGGTATCTTGGTACACCTTATATACACTTAATCCATCTGTTTCTGAAGTGTTTAACATAGCACCTTATTTGAAGTACTCCATGCCTGCCTACTAAATGAAAATTTTGATCGATAGGAGGTTGAGGCAGTTGGCTTCCTTTGCTCTGTAACTAAATCTATAGTGTGGTGAGGTGATTCGCATGACAACCCCTAAGTCTGTGTAGTTGAGAGGTGGAAAAGCCTGGGATTTAGAAATTCACGATGGGTGCTCTACACGGTGTGTCATGGATAATCTTTACATGAATAATTGACAGTTGACTATGGCATCATCAATTAGTAATGGAGGTCAGTCTTGTTTCAGTAGAATGTAACTTCCTGGAGGTACAGCTTTTGCTCATTTATGTCTGAAGTTTTTTAAAAGTACCGTGTCAAAAATAGTGTGGGTGCTCAAAAAGTTGAAAATAAATTAATCAAGTATATCAGGTTCCAGAGTGACCAAAAGAGAGGCTGATATTCAGGAAACCCATTTGCTCTCATTAATAAAACAATCTTATCCATATTAAAGTAACAGTAGATGAGGATAGGAAAAGGATCTATTAGTGTGGTCCAGCTGCGGACCTCTAAGATCATTCCTTCCTTCACGGAGCTCATGAATAATAAAATAAATCAGTGTGACACCAGGGAATAAGCTGTAAAGTGTCACAAAATGCCAGGAACAAAATCCATCCAAAGTGCTCTTTTTCTTCCTGAGGAAAAAACCTAAAAGAACTTTTCTGATTACCTGACAGTCCATTTAATCCCCAGGAAACATTCCTTTGTTATAGTTTCAAGGAGAATTACTTGAAATAATCCTTTGTACAATGTGCCTGGTTCTATTTTAGTTTTAAATCGTGTCCCCTTTCTTTTTGAATTTGTTAAAAAAAAAAAAAGACATCTAATCAATGCCCAAGTGGAAGTGGTATGGCCAAGTCTGAGTTTCTTTCTCTCCAGGATGAAGTTACCTTTTGTGTAGAGGCCCTTTTAAGAGAGACTTAAAAGACTTCAGGAGCTGAGAAAGAATAAAAAAAAATCCTGAATGTTATAATTAAACTGTACGGACTTAACCATCTCTCTTGAATATTATTGAAGAGGAGCATGCTTTTGACCAACTCCATGAACGGTTGCTCACGGTGACCCAGATTTTAGGGTACAGGGGCATTTCTCAGATAAATGCCTATGAGAATTCAGAGCACCTGGTCAAGGGAGGAGACACAGCCCTACCAGCGGTCAGGTTTGGTCAACTCCTTATTAGGTGAAAAGTGGTGATAAAGGAGAAAAGGAAAGGGAAGGAAAAAAGTCCAATATCCTTTATGCCATTTAGACTTTCCCACATTTTGGCTTGGAAATACATCAAAGCAACACTAATAAAGAGAGAAAAAACTCAGGGAGATTTTAATCGAGAAAATAAGACGTATTTAATTTTACACTTACGGACTCTGTCTAGGAGATAAAGATAAGTGCCTTTAGGGTGAGCTTGCTGGTGGCCACCCCTCCCCCATTCTGGAGTATCATTGATAGGGATTTTTTCATCATAAAATCATCAGCCAGGGTTTCTGTAGAAGTTGTGGTGTGCTTTTCCGACTTAAATATTTTCTTATCTCCTTCAGATTTTCCTTTTCTCTTTCCACTCTCCAAGATGGGTAAGGAGGTGGGAGTGAGAAACAAATGTAATTCCTGATGCAGTTGTAATATTTCCTAAACTCATTCCGCCCTATGGCTCAATCCAAAATCCAAATGCAACACGAATTAATAGTGAACATGGATGCAATAATTCAGTTCATTGCTGAGGCACTTTTTTTTTGTCTTTCGAAAATATATTGCTTTTTTTCTTCTTCTAGAGACAGAATTTCTGTTTGACTTACATAATAACATAAGGTTAAACCACAGAGTATTATTATTTTTTTTAGGAATGAAAACTGTTCTAGTAATTTTGGGCTAGCTAGTTGCAAGGAAGATTCATGAAAACTTAAGATGGCAGCTTTGTTCACTCAACTGTTTAAGGGATTTCAAATTTTTCTTAGAACTTTTTCCCCTTTTTACTTTAATTTAGAGAAGAATGGTAGATTCCATGACTGCGTTTTAAAACAAACGTTTAGTTAAAAATAATATCCAATTTGGCCTTAATTAGAGCATGGCAGAAATAACAAAAGGCAGTTAATGTGGTATGAACTAAATGCTTGTGTCAAATGGCTGGCACATTATCTTCGTGTCTTTAACAAGGAGGACTTCACTTGCAGAAACGGCTCTTGACAAAGTTAAGTGGTCCTATATATTGTTTGGGAAATTGCCCTTATTTTGTGTGCTTCTTGTTCCAGTAATGGAACCCATGAGCAGTAGATAATTGCAGGAGCCTCATCTATCAAATAATATTAGAAGTCAACAGCTATAATCTGAGCCACTTGCTTTACACAGCTTTTCTCTGTATTTTCTGTTCAAATTGTCAGTTGTTACCTGTAAGTGTCCCCATTCCCTGTGGTTGATAGAAGCAAAAAGATTTAAGTAAATCAGGAGGTGAGCAGTGTGCAGGCTTGGGCACAGACCCCATAGCCAGCACACAACAGCAGATGATAACAGCTCCCTGAATAGGGAAAATCATGGTTCTTTATACTGCATTCTATGTTACTATTACTGGTGCAGAGGCTGGGTGAAAGGGTGTTTTTAGAGATACTCTGGGCAGTTAAAAACTGAGTTTAAGAGGGTCAGAAATAAACCTCTCATTACTGGAGGGTAAACACACGGAGCATTTCAGCATTCTGACCTACTTTGGTTTGTCTCACATGCCCCTGCGTTAAAAGCAAAGTTGTCCAAAAATAGGGTTGTGCAAGCTTGGTGGTCGGTACTTAGGTATTTACTAGCTCTCATAAACTTATCTGTAGGAATAAAATATTTCATAATAAAAAGGAGAATGTTAGTTTTGTTGGAATAGTTATGATACGTATCTTTGGGTTGCTTTCTCTATCAAAGAAAAATCGGAAAAATACAAAAAGCAATAATGTAAAAACAGAAAAGCACCTCAGCTGATGGTAGATAGTTTTTATGCATAGAAGCGTTATATATAGATCATATAGTTATATAAATATACAAATTATATATGTATCTATACATATTTATATATAAATTACACATATTATGTGTATAAATTATAGGATCATGTTGTGAAGTATCCTGCTTTTCCCCAGTTAACATAAGTTAAACATATTTCTATGTTCATAAATATTCATTTACTATACCATTTGATGGCTGCATTATATTCCATTCCTTGCATTCCCTATTGGTGGATATTTAGAGTACTTTCAAATTGTCACCATATAAACACAGCTGCGATGAATATCCTTGTAGCTAAGACCTTATCAGCATTCATGATACCGTCTTTAAAATTATTAGAAGGATTAATGGTTTAAAAGGTTTGTACAAAAGAGGGCAAACCAATTTCTGTTATTACAAGGAGTATGTGAAAGATTCGGAATTGCTTTCTTCCCTTGGCATCAACTATGTCCAAATGCTTGTTAGATATTTATAGCCATGGAGAGATGGTTGAGGGCGGCGTGGAGGGGGGTGGGTGTTGTCAGTTGTTGAGCACCTGTGGATGGTGGCGACCTGGGACAGCTTCAGCAGGAAAGAGGGGGTATTCTGAGCAGGTGACATTTCCTGTGGTCAGGGAACTGCACAGTCTGAGGCACAAGGATGGATACAAAGGCACAGAAATGAGCAGCCTGGCTGACTGTAGCCCAGCAAAGGTGGCTGTGTGGCAGGTGGGGTCGGCTGTGTCTTTCCCAATGATCTCTCTTTTCTTTGAACTTCTACAGAATTTACATTATATCATATGCTTTAACACAGCAAAGCTATTCTCTGACAGTGCTTGGCCATTGAATATTTGTTGGTGTTGCTTTCCCCATGGGATTATGGATTCTTCAGGGGTAAGGAACTCCACAAGTAAGTGCCCAGAGGACCCAGTGTGGTCAGGGAAGAGACAGGGTGATTAGCAGAGGTTGGAAAACTTGCTTCCTGGGCTCAGCTGCCTCTCCCTGTTTTTGAACACCAATAGTTTTGCTCATGAGGTTTTTTTTCTTTTATTCATGACTTTGTTTAGGAGAGAGATCTGGGGTTATTAAACATCACTTGCTCTTCCACTTTTTTTTTTTTTGAGATGGAGTCTCTCCCTGTTGCCCAGGCTGGAGTGCAATGGTGCGATCTCAGCTCACTGCAACCTCTACCTCCCGGGTTCAAGTGATTCTCCTGCCTCAGCCTCCCGAGTAGCTGGGATTACAGGCACCCACCACCACGCCCAGCTAATTTTTGTATTTTCAGTACAGACGGGGTTTCGCCATCTTGGCCAGGCTGGTCTCGAACTTCTGACCTCGTGATCCATCCTCCTCGGCCTCCCAAAGTGCTGGGATTACAGGCATAAGCCACCGTGCCTGGCCACTTCCACATTTTTTAAACCACTGATTTAAAGATTCAACCCCAATGATCAAACCAGTGCTTCTGTTTTCTATTTTTAGTGATACAGTTTTTGGGCATTTCAGTGACCATCAGTTTCCCAACTTGGCTATTGTTCCTCCCAATCAGAAAGTGTTCTGTGGCTGGTTTGTCATTGCAGGCCGTGGCTGCTCAGAAAATAGAAATATAAATCGGCATCTTTATTTAGCCTTTTTCCAGTGGGGTAGTAGATAATAATTTATTCTCAAGAGCTGGTCGTTCTATGGTTTCTTGTGCTGGGCTGTACCAAATGAAGCATGAGGTCAGCTGAAAAGGCCACCAATGGCTCTTTGTGGGGCTCAATGGAAAGGCATTTAATTCAACTGGAATTTCCCATACCGGGGACTCTGGGCCCAGCAACAGCTGTGCTTTTAAGGCTTTGATTGCTGCAGAATCACCTTCCCAGCTAACGGAGAGTCTGCGTTTCTATTTCTGTTGTTGAATAACCGGCACAGGGCTAGAGCCATGGATGCTTTTCCATCCAGAGCCGATATTTCACCCTGGATGCCCTGGCACATAGCCATTTGCACTTCTACATTTTGAATAATGTTCTCATATGGTATTTCAACAAAATATTTATATAGTTCAATAGTTGTTCAAGACACCAGTGAAGAAAGAAAGGCAATAATTTTTACAGTTGTGTGATAAAAATTACCAATTGCTGTTAGTGATGTGCCATGTGACTCTCCTCTAATGCACGCTGCCTACCAGAAAAACTAGTCAGTAGAAATTCAAAATGATGAAGCTGTGTTTGAAGTTTCAGCAATTCTAATGGAAAATGGGATGTATTACTGAGATGCAAAGCTGTTCATAGTAGACATGATACTTGGAAGGATCTTCTGATACTTAGAGTTGTTTTAAGATTAAATGGAAAATCAAAGCTAGGATTATTCGAATACTTCTTTACCTGGATTAATTATAAAGTAAGGTAAGGTGAGCACTAATCTGTGCATATGAGTGTCACTGCTAGTGCATTGTTCTCCAGAATTAATTTAAATTGCTGGAGAGCAGGTTGACTATTCGCTTAGCTGCTATAAATTTGAACATTATAATTTTCACAGTTAATAAATAATTATGAAGGACTGACTTTGTTTTGAAATGCGTATCTTAATTTACTGGTCCATAATTTACTAGTCCCTAAAGAAGTCTGCTATAAGGACAAACAAAATCATACATCTATTGATGATAGATGTATGTTTATTCAGGAAATACTATGTACCCAGGCCTCCAGCCTGTATTATTACATTTCTACAATAACACTGCAAGGTACTTTGAATTAATTTCAAGGTACAGATGAATAAATAGAGGCCCAGAGAGGTTAAGTGATAAAGATAATAAGTGGTTAAGGTGTAAATCAACACAGGTCATCATGATCCCCAAGGCCCAACCACTCTGTTACACTGACTGCTTTACTAGAATGCTTTATATTCCTGAGACAGACCTGTAGGGTTTAAAAATGACTATGTTGATCACAAGATAGCGATATTTAATTCCATTCAATTCCATTCCTTTAAAGGAGAAAAACACCCATGTGCAGCTGATTGCTTTGTCTTCTGTATGTCTGTTTTGTGTGTGAAGGTTTATAGCTATGTATTGACTTTCTTCATTATCTAAGTTTATGCACCTAATGATTCTTATTAGTACGCTTAGTGACCTTCTCTAAAAATTTTGCAATAAGAATACACCTCAAACAACTCATCTAAGTAGCTTTTAGTTGGTAAAATGCCTTCAGTGGCCAAGCTAAAGCCATATATACTCATTTATGTGAATGCTATTCTTGCAATTACTGTTGGAGTGACAGTTTCTCTGAGGTATTTGAATGATGCAACTTGTTCAGGTTTAATGCTGTCTATTATGAACTCTGCTGCATGCTGTTAATAGCTGGAAGGCATTGATTTTGTTTTCTGCTCTCTTATCTCAAGCCCATACATTTTGCTTGCATTATTGACTGTTCTGATCATTTCATGCACCATCTCTTTAGAAGATGTATAAATCAATGTCAGCCATGAAACTTAAGTTGTTTATTAGGCTGCCATGTAGGTTTACACCTTCATGAAAATCATCTAATGTGGTCGGTGTCAGATGTTTCAAACAATTGTTGACCAGGTCTGATGAAAGAGGACAGCTTTGGAACAAGTCACCACTGGAGTAGGAAAGTTCATTCAATTATTTATTTGGGTCACATGTTATACTTGACTGGATGCACTTTTTAATGATGTTAATTAACTTCTTCAGGGTGTTAAATTAGTTTAGAACTGCTATGATTATAGCATGACATAAATTGGACTCCCTATTCTAAGAGATACGTTTGAGTTTTGCACACCAAAAGGATATTTTGTACTGCATTAGTGCAAATGAATCCGCGTTGCTTATATTTGAGCATAAGTGATAGAGGACCCATGCAGACTTCAGATCAATTTCACACTTGAATCACAGAGTCAAAAAACAAGTGCAGGAGCCTGAAAGCCTGTCCATCATTTGATACAATTACCAAGTTCTTTATCCAGTATCCAAAGAGTATCAAATTGCACCTCTAATCCAATAAAAAGTGTTTTTCATAATTAAGGCAATTACGAAATGCCCTGCAAAATCCATTCTTGAGGTTCAGCTTCTAAACGCTTCCTGTGCATAAAGCAAATTTTGGATTAGTTTAGACTTTATTTTTTCCCTAATTTTTATAACGCTTTTGATTCATCTCTTCTGCTTAGGATTTTGCAGGGCATTTTTCAAATATGGAGATATTTTCTTCTCTTGGTACCAAAGGTGAAGGGTTGCACAGGGCTGCATTACTTGAAGCCAATTTCTGGGGCAGCTGTGGCTCCAGTAATATTAAGTGCCTCATTTTCCCCCACATGTTGTGGGAGGTGGGTTTGGAAAGCCCTTCCTCAGCAATCAGTCACCTGGACCTGGCTATGATCTCAAAAAGCTGCTCACTAGTTAAAAATTAAGTTCAGAAGAAAAAAATGGTAATCAAATTGTCCTTAGGTATTTATTGCTTGGATTAAAAAAATAAACTCATAACCAAATATAACTTCAAGGAACAATTATTTTTTAAGTTATACATTTGTGTGAGAGATGCTTTATAGAGGGTTGAATTGTGTCCCCCAAAAGATATGTCCACCTTAAACTTTAGAATCTGACTTAGGGAATACGGGTCTTCTCAGGTAAGTATTTTGAGATCATTCTGGATGAGAGAGGATCCTAATCCAATGGTAAGTCCTCAGGAGAGGAGAGGAGGGGAGGGGAGGGGGATGGGGAGGAGGGGGGAGGAGGGGAGGAGGGGGAGGGGGTAGAGGGGGGAAGATGGGGAGGGGAGGGGAGGAAGGGGAGAAGGGGGAGGGGAGGGGATGGGGAGGAGGGGATGGGGGATGGGGAGGGGAAGGGGAGAAGGGGAGGAGGGGGGGAAGGGGAGGGGAAGGGGGACGAGGGGAGAGGGGGATGGGGAGGAGGGGGGAGGAAGGGGAGAGGGGAGGGGAGGGGGAGGGGGAAGAGAGGGGAGGAGGGGAGGGAGGGGGGAGAAGGGGGGAGAAGGGGTGGGGAGGAGAGAGGACAAGGGGAGGAGGGGGGGAGTGGAGGAGGGGGGAGGAGGGGAGGGGAGCCAGATGAAGACAGAGGCAGAGATTGGAGTGGTGTAGCCCCAAGCCAGAAAAAGCTAAGCAACACCAGGGATTGCCAGCAGCCCGCAGAAGCCAAGACAGAGGAATGGAGCGCACGCTCCTGCAGATCCTCCAGAGGGAACCAGCCCATGGTCACCTTGATTTTGGCCCTCTGGCCTCCAGACCTGTGAGAGAATGAATTTCTGTTGTTTTAACCCAACAAGTTTGGGGTAATTTGTTATGGCAGCCCTAGGATACTCATCCATCCCCCGTGCACTTACATCTGATCACTGATGTTGCTTCACTGAGATTCTGTCTCTTCCTTTCAGGAGTGTGCTCTCTCTGGAGGCCCTTTGCTCCCTCTTCTGCTTGCTATGGGAGAAGTAATTTCCAAAAGCCAAAACTCGATGATTCTAAAAGCAAGCGTTATGAGAGCTGCTTACATTTCAATATGTTTTTGAATGAAAATATGTTGTTCAATGGATAATTTCAAGTCCAAATACATTCCCAGGGAATATGATGTTGAATCATACTTACAGTTGGGGATACTTAATTCACTGCATTAATCAGTATGCATTTGACTTGTCTATTTTTATGGGAATTAGTTACTCAAATATTCTTCTAAAATATGTTATACTTTCATAATAAAAATATGCCTCTAAAACTCTTCATTCAGAACTTTAAAAGCGCCTTATTCCCATCTAGTTGACTTTTGATCATTTTGTTTAGCTATTTATGCAAGATAATGCATTTGAAAGCACTTTTAGAACTGCCATGTGCAATACATACTAATTATGAAGTTTGAAAAGTGGTCCTCAACTCTGAACTGCCGAATGCAGATAAGCACTCAGCAGCGGTTCATCGAGGTTCAGATAATCTTTTGTGTCCCATTTTTGTCCGGTGCATGCTTCCTGGATTTAAGCCCGTTAATACCTTTTCTATGGCGTAGGTCCCAGTGTTGCTGCACCCACTCTCTTGATGTTAAAGATTTTGGCAGAAAGCCAAGTACGGTATTGATATGGTTTGGATCTATGTCCCCACACAAGTCTCATGTTGGATTGTAATCCCCAGTGCTGGAGGTGGGGCCTGGTGGGAGGCGAGTGGATCATGGGGGTGGATTTCTCATGGATGGTTTAGCACCATTCCTCTTGGGACTGTCCTCATGATAGTGAGTGAGTTCTTGCTGGATCTGGTTGTTTAAAAGTGTGTGGCCCCTCCTGCCTCCTTGTTTCTGCTTTGTCCATGTGACATGTATGCTCCCCCTTCACCTTTTGCCATGATTGTGATGGCTGAAGCCTCCCCAGAGGCCAAGCAGATGGTGACACTGTACTTCCTGTAAAGCCTGCAGAACTGTGAACCAACGTGTTGAACAAATAAGCAGTAGTTATGATTTTGTTGTAGATGATCATGAATTAAACTACCTAAATTTAATTCATTCAACAAATATCTGTTGTTCCAGGCCCTGGAAATAGAACAAAGGTGTCACAGTGTCTACTTTTTCAGGGAGAAGCCAGATATTTAAATAGGAAATTCAAGGGCACGGGCAGTCTGAGATACAGTCTGAACTGTATGATGGGCACCCATGATTGGCCAGGCTACTCACAGTTCAACTTGACCTTTTCTGGTTAAATATCGCAGAATGTCCAAATGTCTTTATCTCCTTTCCGTCCCCTAATCCAATGGAAATGACAGCAAAAAATAGAAATGAATAAACCCATAAACACAAAGAGAAGGTGATCGGAGACACCAGCAAGTAAGAGAATATTCCCAGAAGCCTGGAGTGGCAAATCAATGAGCAGAGTGGAGGAAGTTACAATCCAAGGGGCTTCATAGGGGAGACTGTGAGGGACGAGACGATCCACACCACAGCTGTAGAAATTGGACAGAATAAGGGCTCTGAGACTTCAGTTACTGTGGAAGGCAGGGGGTGGGGAGGCACCAGACTGGGGGCAGGAGATTGGCGGGAAGTCTGGGGATGCAGTGGTTGGGCCCCTTGGGTTCCTGCCCCAGTTCATGTGTCCAGTTGATGACCCCGACAGGCAGGAGGTAAGTTATTTATTTATCTATGAGACAGAGCCTCACTCTGTTGCCCAGGCTGGAGTGCAGTGGTGCTATCTCCACTCACTGTAACCTCCACCTCCCGGGTTCAAGCGATTCTGCTGCCTCAGCCTCCTGAGTAGCTGGGATTACAGGTCCTTACCACCATACCCAGCTAATTTTTGTTTTTTTTTTTTTTAGTAGAGATGGGTTTCACTATGTTGGCCAGGCTGGTCTTGAACTCCTGACCTCAAGCCTCCCAAAGTGCTGGGATTACAGGCATGAACCACCAAGCCCAGCAAGAAATTTATTTTTTAAATAAATGAAACCAAACAGAAACCAAACAAACCTGGTCCTCATCCTCTACTCTGCTCCCCAAGTACTGGAAGGCAGGCATTGCATCCTAACACCCCTCCCATTGGCCCCCCAACTTCCATATACATTTATTCAGAACAGAAGGTTTTTAGATTCTTCTTTGGAGAAACAGACCTTTCCATATTGACATTTAAGTTATTCTAGTGGAAAAACTGACTTACCATCTCATCATAATATAGTGAAGCCTATGACTTAGCAAGCCCAGTCTAGGCAACTAGAGCTTCCATCTAGATTTTTAGGGCTCCAGTCTTAAATAAAAGTAGACAGCCGAGATCACCACCCATTTGTGGAGGGTCTCCAAAATGAGAGAGGCTAAAGCACACAGGAGAAAAGAAACTTCAGAGGAAATAGAGGCATGGCAGGGAAATGAAGAAAATGTCAAAAAAGAGACTATTGGGTTTTGCTTTGTTTTGTTTTTGAGACAGGGTCTCGCTCTGTCACCCAGGCTGGAGTGCAGTGGCGTGATCATGGCTCACTGCAGCCTTGACCTCCTGGGCCCAAACAATCCTTATCCCCACTTCCCTAGCAGCTGGGACTACAGGCATGCACCACCATGCCTGGCTAATTTTTGTAATTTTTAAAAATTGAGGTTTTGCCATGTTGCCCAGGTTGGTCTCAAACTCCTGAGCTCAAGCTATCCTCCCACCTCAGCCTCCCAAAGTGCTGGGATTATAGATGTGAGTTGCCATGCCCAGTCCACCCTCCAAAATTCACTTTAATTTATTCAGGAGAGAGGGAAAGATACGGCAGGTATGAAAGAAGACAAGGATACAGTGAAAAAGGAGCAATCAGAAGTGCTGTTGGAAATTAAAAACGAGGTAATAGAAATAAAATTCCAGTACAGAGATTGAAATGAAGTTCAGGAAATTTTTCTGAAACAGAACAAAACAAAATATCTAACCACCCCCCCCCGCCCCCACACACAAAACACAAAACTAAGAGATGAAATATAAGAGAGAAAAGATAGGAATTGGAGGGTTGTCCCGGGAGGTCCTATGTGGCCAATAAAAGCTCCAAAAAGAAAGAACTGAGTAAGTAGAAGAGAGAGAAATATTAATGATCTAATACTAGAAAAAACTCTACTGCAGAACATGACTTCTTTTTGTTGAAAGGGCCTACTGTGTATCCAGCACAGTGAAGGAATAAACACCTCACATCAAGGCATTTTATTATGACGTACTAGCATACATGAGAAAGACAAGATCTTAACAGTTTCCACAGTGAAAAAGTCATACTGGGAACCAGAAGGGCATTGGATTCCTTAACAGCAACCCTGAATGTGAGAAAGTCTTTAGAAACTACCATATATGAAGGTAGAATAAAAGAATTTCCTGATGTGAAAGGACTCAAAAATGAATTTCTCATTATATATATATATATATGTATTTACGTGTGTATGTATCTAAAATATATCATTGCATTATATATATATGTATATATATAATATATTAAAAATTTTTAAAGAAGACTTCTCTGGCAATGTGAGAACAGAAACCAGTAACATAAAGAGAATGACTGGGGCCCTGCAAAAGGGCTGAAACCCAAGAAAGTGGGGGAAAGGAAGTCTGAGGGTGTCAGAGGAATCCCAGGCCATTGGTTCATTACCTGGTCCTACCCTTTCCTTCCCCTTTCAAATACAACCAATATGCTGACTTTTACATTTAGCATTACCTTGCTATTTCTTCATAAATTTGCCAGGTATATATTTCCAAACATTACGTCATGCAGGAGGGCAGAAGGGTTTGGGTGAAAGGTTGTTAGGGAAAAAATAGCTTATATGGGCCAGGTGTGGTCGCTCACGCCTGTAATCCCAGCACTTTTGGGAGGCTGAGGCGGGTGGATCACTTGAGGTCAGGAGTTCAAGACCAGGTTGGCCAACATAATGAAACCCCGTCTCTACTAAAAAAAAAAATATATATATATATTAGCTGGGCATTGTGGCGCACACCTGTAACCCCAGCTACTGGGGAGGCTGAAGCACGAGAATCCCTTGAACCTGGGAGGCGGAGGTTGCAGTGAGCTGAGATTGCACCACTGCAGTCCAGCATGGGTGACAGAGCAGCACCCTGTCTCAAAAAAAACCAAAAAAACAAAAAAACAAAAAAAGATTCTATGATAATTTTGAGCTTTTGGTAAATAATACTGATGTGTATTTGTTAGATTTGATAACATATAAAAATATTTGAGATAGATATTGGAAAACTAAGCAAATGAAAAACAAGAAAACATTAACACCCATTTCTTCTCTTTCTCCTACTTGATTATGAGCTTGTGGAGGGAAACGGTCTTCTGTTCTCCACACCTTTCTATCTGGTGCCTCGCCTCTTGTTGAGGACATAATACACGTATGTGAACAGCTAGCATGGGAACTTGATGACGACATTGTAAACACCCTGATGAGCAAATGTGCTCCTCTTATGTATCAATCTATATGTGAAATTATCTCTGTGATTTCATAGTAGTAGAGCTTGTTTCTTCTGGGAAATGGTCACACTATATTATCAGATAACAAATGCTTAATAACTCATATTTTTTCCATTTTCTACATTGCCTACTAGAAACTTATCGTCTGCTAGAAACTCCATTCAAAATTAGGGTGCTTTGTTTCATTGAGAGTTTGGTAGCTTCCCTGTGGTCTGTATTTTCTGGGTCCATATCTGTGGGAAGTTTATCAGATCTGTGTCAAGTTTGGGGTTCCTTCAGAGAAGATTTAGATTTGCTTTAGTTAGATGCTTAGGGGCCAGGGCCAACCTTGGATCTCTTTAAACGTCTTGGTTTCCCAGTATGCCAGATGCTGTGATTTTGAAATACAAGCTAATCTGAGGGGGCTTGGTGGGAAGATTTTTTTTTCAGCCCTAAGGTTTAAGACAGGACCTTTCTTGTGGTGTCCTGGAGTATGGAGGGTTTATTTTTTGGTTAACCTTTACTGAGAGTACAACCCTTTGGGGTTCTACCCTTGTGGGGTGGAGTGTGTGTCTCTTATGTCACTTCTATCTTAGGCTTTGCCCTTGAAGACCAAGCTCAAGTTCATCTGGTTTGGCAGCTTTGGGGCTTTCCTGCTGATTCAGAGTCTGGATTTATTTATTGTCAAACATATTAAAATGTAGATGAGGCAAAAAAAAAAAAAAAAGAAACACAAAGAGAAAGGCTAATATTTTCTTCCTACCCACACTGTAATGACTTACCTTTGTAGTCTCAGTTTGTGGGTACTCACTTTGTAGTCTCAGTTTGTGGGTACCCACTTTGGAGGACACCAAATAAGGAATATCGACAGACCTACCAACGGTTGAAGAAAACTTCTGATGTGACAGAAGCAAACAGGACTTCACCCTCAAAGACATTTTCTGGAAAAGCGTGGACTGCTGCTACCCTGGATGGAGACTCCTTCTAGGGGAGTGTCTGAATAGCATTCGTCTGCCTCTAATTATTCTGGGTCACCATGTCAGGTTGGTAGCAAACAGTATTAGAGGAGGGGGGAAATAATGAGATACTTAAATTATGATAAAAAGAAAATAAGGAATTCTCTAATTAATTTTGTGCATGTGTAGAGATCACAGAAAAGGAAGTGAAAGGTTGTAGAAGCAGGCAATGCAAAAATCTTGCAAATTCTTCAAATGCGAGTAAGAGTCTGATAAGCCCTAACTTTCTGGTAAGCATTTTAATGGATCCTTTAATTAGCTTTTCTGGAAAGTTCACTGATGATATGCTGGAATAATGATCCCCTATGCTTTAAAGTGTCTAGTCATTAGCTCGCAAGGTGACTGAACATACTAATGTATTTGCCTCTTAGACTGTTTAAGCCCATGCTCCTAATAAGGTCTCGCCTTTGACTCAATCACAGAAAGGAGCATATGGGCTGGGCTCTCTCAGAAATGACAAGGACAGTGAGCCCAACCCTACTTCCTTTAGTTCCCATGTGACTCCAGCTCCTGGAAAGAGATTCTTTGGGCAGTTCTGGAACTGTTCTTGTGCTGCCTGCCATTTTTGTGCCTGCTGGCTCAGCATTTGTGGTCTCCCTTAGATTTGGGATTCGTTCTGGTTTAGAGAATTAATTATATTTTGTCACCTGGATCAGTATCATTTTGTGGGGCATGTGTATTGATTTGTACTTCTAACTGGTGCATTATCATTCTATTTTATTTTGAAGGCATGCTTTCTACACTTCCCAAGTGCAGGTCAGGCAAGGTGAGTAGTAGGTCAAACAAGGTGAGTGGGTAGAGACCAGGAAGGTGCTTCTGCTCAGAGCTGAGCCTGTGACTTGGCTTTGTACCAAACTAATAGCAAACTGGGCTGAGGCTCAAATTTTCCAGTCTCAGCCTGGTTGGGTCCCAGCATGCTAGTGCCTGCTGATGAGCATGTACACAGCCTTTCGTATTACATAACTTCTCGTGCCCCTGGCTGAAAGAAGCTAAACTGCAGATAATTTATTCAGCATAAATTATTGCTAACCTTAGCTAGAATAATGCATGCTTTTGATCCTCTTTAGATACGGAGCCAATGGGGAATCGTCCAGCTACAAAGTTTCCCCCTATATCTTTCAGTTAAATCAGATTCCAAATCTTGAGGACATCTGATATTCCTCAAGGACATTAAATCTATAAAACTGGTGCTTGAATTATATGCCCAAAAATATAATTCACAGTTTGTTTTGTTAGTTTGAGCTATTAGTAACATTTTAAACATCTAATTACATTTTGCATTTAATAATTCATTCTTGTATAATTAGAGACTTAAGTTATGCAACATGCTTATGTTTTAAAATATGGACATTCTCTTTAAATGTTTTATACCACTCTCAATGAGATAAAACACATCATATGCATATTATGCACATATGCATATGATGTGCATATATGCACATCATATGCATATGAGATAAAATAACATCAAATGCATATTATTAAAATTTTAATGCTGTAGCCACACAAGGTTTATTTGGCTGGGCCCACCCTATAGGCAGTGTTGGTGAGATGCACTTCAATTGGTAAGAAAAGCTCCAAGCAGAGAAAACGATGTATTCCTCACCAGGCTGTTTCAGGGCAATCTTCTTGTCTTACTTGCTTTGAATTTCCCTCCAGATGGACAAACTTTACCCCAAAGTATGGCTGATTAGCTCAGCAAGCAACCTGATCCAGAGATTTTTGCACAAACCAGTTGAAGTGTGTGTGTGCCTTACCCTACCAGAAGCCATGCTCCCTGGTCATCTCGTATGGCTTAATGTTACACTCATCTAGAATAGAAATCCGGAGGCCAAGTATTGGCCACCTGACATACTGTTGAATTGAAAAATGTCAATTTAAAAAAAAAAAAATTTTAAAATTTTCATTTTTGTGGGTATAGAGTAGGTGTATATATTTATGGGGTACATGAGATGTTTTGATACAGGCATGAAATGTGTAATAATCACATCATGGAAAATGGGGTATCCATCCCCTCAAGCGTTTATGAGGGATGTTGATCTTAACCATGTAGGAAAAAGGTGTCTTGTTTTAAAATTGAAAATCTGTTAATATGGTGAAAGCAATTCAAATAGTGCAAAAAGGTATACAATGAAAATCTCCTTTCCGCTAGATCTCAATTTCTAGATCTACCTCCCATGGGCAACTACTCTTCCCACATTGCTGGGAATCCTTTATGAAATAGTCTATGCATATACAAGTTCTTTATGTATACCTCTCCTTATTTTAAAAACACCCACAGGGCACCCTATCTACGCTGTTTGGCACCTTACTCATTACACTTTATCAATTTATTTTGATGAGGTTGCAAGTCAACCATATATTCTTTTAATAACTCTGTAGTTATCTACTCTTTGTATGCACCCTGCTTTATTACTGTATGTATTTATATTATGGTTACTCTTTGGATGTGCCAAACATGTTTATTTAAAGCACCTTGTTGCTGGACACCTGCACTTATGTGCAGCCTAATCTTTGGGCACAGGCATGAATAGATCTATGGTATAAATTACTTGAAGTGGATTTGTTTGGTCAGAGGTGATCTACATCTAATTTTCATAGATAATCAAAAATTGCCTCCCCAAAATATTGCACAGTGTAAGATTCTAACAAAAGTAGACTCTTCTTTCGAGAGGGTCACATACAGAAACTCTTGCATCTTGAAATCTCAGAATGACACCTGCATGGGAGAGGTGGGCAGGCTAAACCCACTCGCTGGTTCCCTGGCCTTGCCCCACCTGTTGGCTTTGTAGCATGCATGCCTTAAATTCACATGAAATACTTCCTGGGGGTATAGGTCAGTGGTAGAGCATTTGACTGCACATGAAATACTTCCTATAGAGAATCTTCTTAAAACCTGAAAACAAACCTATGCAGCAGTTATGATTATCCCATTGTAAATCACCACATGAGATCAGAATCTGGGATCTGTCGAAAAGAAATGAAAATGTGAACATTAAACATGTGCTTGCTAAGGTTCTATTTGTGATTGAAAACGGTATACATTGCTTACACAGAATATTCTAAGATCTCTGTGAAGTGTAAGTAAATTCCATCATCATGTGTCTCTGTAATACTTGAAAGGATTTAGAAGAAGTACACTTGTATTTTAGTGCAATTTGAGGATGTGAGAGACACGAGAATATTTCAGTTGAAGCAATTAGCTTATAGTTCAGGCTTCAGCACAAATTTATGACCTATTCAATTTTCCTGTATTTGAAGATGGCAAAGTGTGTTTGACAAGAGCAAAATGCATAATTAATTCCAAAGTCTGTGAAAAGAAAGTATCCCAAAGCATTTCCTATTTACTTATTTGTTGAGTTCTTAGAGACACTTTATATTGAGTTAACATAATTGAATATTGAAAAGTCTAACAGGTACAGTGTAATTATGAACATAAGAACAATTCCATTGTGTGTCAATGTATACCTCAAGTCAGAAAGGTGAGAGGACAGGAAATGTTTAATGGAAATAATCTTGTAAAATATTTTCTTCAAAAGTCATCTATTACTTCCTTTGCTTATTATCAGAGGCATGTAAATTACAGGCAAAGACACGTAAGTTACAGGCGTTGTATCTCATTACTGCTCCTTCTCTTTGTGTGCTCTTATCATGGCCTGTGGCCATGAGGATTTCTTAACCTACAAGCTCTGCCTGGCCAATGACTGTCTAGCCGGCTTTGCAGAGGTAACCCTTTGTTTTCTCTGGGTTAAGGGGGCTGAAATTGCAGTCAGAATGTGTGAACTTGAATCTTGGCCATTTATTAGCTGATGTCCGTGGGCTTCAGTTTCCTCATCTGTGAGATGGGATCTTGATAGCAACTACCTCATAGGGTTGTTGTGAGGATTAAATAAATGAATTCACCTTAGGTATAGCTACTAAAGTATTGCAAGACCCATCACTTAAAATGGGCCTTTTAAAAGTTAGCTATTGTTACTATGATCAAGCCTCTTCTACATTCAAAGCACTGTGCTTATTACTGTGAAGTAAATAAAAATTTTAAAATGGAGATGTCCTTGTTTTCTAGGCGCTTATAACCTAATTGAGAAGTACAAACCATGTGTTACAAGAAAATAAAGAAAGGAGAGATTACTTTTGAGTGGGCAGCTTCTTGGAGAGAATGGAATTTAATGGGAATAATAAAAGATTCAGGTCTTTCACAATGAGGAAGGGCAGAAGCAAATGACTGGACAATTTTCATTTAACTCATACATTTATTTTATGTTTATTAAATACCTACTATTTGCTATGTGCTAGGCAATGTGTTAGGTGCTGGTGCTACTAGTTAAAAAAAAAAAAAAAAAGGTAGGCCAGGCGTGGTGACTCATGCCGGTAATCCCAGCACTTTGGGAGGCCAAGGCAGGTGGATCACAAGGTCAGGAGTTCAAGACCAGCGTGGCCAAGATGGTGAAACCCCATCTCTATTAAAAATACAAAAATTAGCTGGGCAGTAATCTGCCATAAGCAAAAATAACAAGTAGAAAATTTAAAGGAGGCTGAGGTGGGAGAATCGCTTGAACCCGGGAGACAGAGGTTGCCGTGAGCCGACATTGTACCACTGCACTCCAGTCCGGGCGGCAGAGCGAGACTCTGTCTCAAAAAAAAGTAGGTCTCTGCCTGCATGGAGCTTAACACTGAGACAAAAAAACCTTTCTGAGTGATATGTTTGTGCCTTCCTCACAAAGGTCGTCCAAGGAAAACAGATGCATATCTTATTTGATTTTATGTGTTATCAGGTATTACTTTGTGATATAATGGGTGATATATATATAAAGTGGAACTAGGATTACAATTTGACATATAAAAGAGATAGCAGTAGAACTGGTAATTTTCAGAAAAAATTCAAATAAAATAGAAGGCTCAAATTTTCATGTATGTTTAAAAAAAGATGCATTTTATTATTGAAAAGAATTTTAACCTGAGTGAACTTTATGTCAGTGTTTCACATCACATTTGGAATTATGTCTTTTAGGACATGCTTTCCTTCTTCCATTTGACATTCATTCAACAAATACTACTGAGTCTGCTATGTGAGAAGTATTTTGCTAGACAAGCAATGGGAATACAACATTGAGATCAACAGAGTCCTTTTCCTCAAGGAGGTTATTGGACTTAGTTGAAATGAAATAAAATAATTGAATCAACAAAGAAACTCAGAACTTGATTCTTCTTAAATGAATCAGTTGGAGTCTCAGAGGTTGGCTTGAAGAGTATGGGATGACCAGTGGTTGATATAAAAAGTAGGATATGACCAGCAGTTCTTATGGGGAGTGGGGAATGACTGACAGTGTGGAGGGTAGGCTAGAACCAAGGGTTTGTATGGGGAATGGGGAGTGATTCATAATATGAAGGCTGAGCTTACAACCAAGGGTTCTCATGGGAGTGAGAAATAATTGACAGTTAGTATGGAGGGTAGGCTAGAACCAAGGGTTTGTATGGGAGAATGGGGTGTGATTGATAGTATGGAAGGTGAGCTAGATCCAAGGGTTCTCATGGAGAGAAATGATTGACAGTTAGTATGGGGGGCAAACTAGAATCAAGGGTTTGTATGGGTGAATGGGGAGTGATTGATAGTATGGAAGGTGAGTTAGAACCGAGGGTTCTCATGGGGAGTGAGGAATGACTGACAGTTAGTGTGGAGAGTAGGCTAGAACCAAGGGTTCTTGTGGAGGAGGGGGAATGTCACCTTGGCCACAGGCAAGGAGGGCAGGTTGCCTTCACCTGCAGATTGCTCACACCACCTTTGGAGAATAGAATGGCAAGGAGCACAGAGTGAGGAGGAGCGATAGACTTGGTTCTCAGCATCCCAATTAGATGCTGCTTCTGTGAATTTTCTACCCAAATGGTGTTTGAGCCTGTTCCCAGGATTCTAGGCCACTGGGTATTGCTAAGGGTGGTTGCAACTTCTTGCTACCTTTCAAAGAACTAGAAGTGGAGCCTGTCTGAAATATTTGGTCCAGGGAGGAACTTCTAGTCCTAAAAGGACTAGGAGTTGGTTGGCTTCGACAATTTGCCCTTGGTCCAGTGCCAGATGCAAGTGGTTGCTGTGCTGCGTGTGATGATCCTTATTCTCTGTTTGGCTTGTGGTGAGGGGATTGTTTCCATGTCTTGGACTTGGATTTTACCTTCCTTGTGGCCTAGACTTTAAAGTCTTAAGGCCCAGGTGGGTCTTTGACTGCTGAGGGTAAACGTCGAGGAGTATAAAGCCAGAGGAAACCCTCTTGTGAAGAAGCAGAAAATGATGATGGAAGGATTAAAATATGATGGAAGGATGATCTGAAAGAAATTTATTTAAAATTCTTTCAGCTTTTTTTTTTGTCATTTCCAAGTCAGGGATATATTTGTTGCTATTGCTAAATGTGTGCCCATCCAATGAATAAACCATCAACTATAAAGTTAAATGTAAATAGTGATAATGACATTTTATGCCTACATCTAAGGACAGTCTTGGTATGGCCAGCCCTCTGTGACATACAAGGGTGCCCTGGGCATCAGCACCCTGAAGATTTCTCCAGCAAGCGGCAGAAGCCCCTGAAAATTTGACTTTCATAATCAAGGTTTATGGTTGCTTACATTTGAACTAAAAATATTTTTGGGCTGCAGGAATAGGCTTGAGCGTGCCAGTGACCTATTTTGTAATGCCGAGCTTACATCCCAGACCCTCACAGGAATTAAGAATTATGTGAGTCGAGCAAGATGCTGAAAACACGAAACAATTCAGAAATAATCTAAAAACGTTTCAGATAAATTATAACATAATTTGGTGTTTCTTTGAAGATGAAAGTCGTTAAAGGTTTTTACTGCAATGCATTGTGCTTTTTAAAGTAGTCTGAAAAGACAAATCAAGGATCCTAGTTTTCTGTCTGATTATTAGACCCCTCCTAAAAGCCCTGGAAGTAGGTGAGTGGCAGGTGTTTTACTCCAGGCTGTGTAGGCATAGGCAGGTAGGAGTGGAGATCAGGGGACCTTGCAATATTGCTCGGGTCAAGAGTACCATGGTTGTTCCTGCTATCCTGGCTTGGCTGTATTTGTGATTGAAATATTCTGAGAATTCCTGGAAAATAAAGATACAGTGGTCACAATATGTGAGTCCTATGTATCCATACAGAGTTAGTACATTAAGATGCATAAACATCTTACATTATCAAGTAAATCCTGAGGAACATTTTGACTTACCACTCCTTTAGGTACATGGGAGAGAGAAGAGAGAATATACAGCTATTTCCAGCAGAGACACATTGAGAAACTTCCAAGTGGTATGAGGCCAGGATTCCTGTCATTTTCAACTTCATGTCTAGGAGATAGCCCTAGTTCTCATACCACCTCTTCTGTTAAAAATACCTGCCTCTGCATGAGTTTGTTCTTTGGTGTTACATACGTAGGCAAATAAAATTACCAAAATGCAAAACCATGCTCGCTCAAATGAGATTTTTTTCACCAAGTAACTAAGCTTTGTGCTACCAAGAAACAGCAGGTGAAGTGGAAAATGCCACCCAGGCAGTTTAAATAACCCACAGAGGAGCTTAGTACTCACCACACATACCTCATCCTCTCTCGTGTGCCCCAGTGTACCCTTATACATTTTTCTGTGAGTGTGTATCATGCTGTCCCCCTGAGGTTGCATACTTTTGTTGCAAAAATAATTTAATACAGCATTTGAAATGTGAATAAGAGTCCTGCTTATAAAAACGCAAGTAATGGCTGGGCACGGTGGCTCACACCTGTAATCCCAGCACTTTAAGAGGCCGAAGCAGGTGGATCACCAGGTCAGGAGACTGAGACCATCCTGGCTAACATGGTGAAACCCCGTCTGTACTAAAAAATACAAAAAATTAGCCGGGCATGGTGGTGGGCGCCTGTAGTCCCAGCTACTCGGGAGGCTGAGGCAGGAGAATGGCGTGAACCTGGGAGGCAGAGCTTGCAGTGAGCTGAGATCACGCCACTGCACTCCAGCCTGGGTGACAGAGCAAGACTCTGTCTCAAAAAAAAAAAACAAAAACAAAACCAAAAACAAATGCAAGTAGTGAGCTGAAAGGAAAGACCTTAAGTATTGAGGGAAACTGAAAATAACAAAATGTTTTAAAGTATCTAAGAATGAGAGAATAGGTAATAGGTCTAAAGGAGTCCTCATCAGAAACAGTGCCGAAAGAGAGAGAAAGCAAATTTGAAGATGCCCCAGTGTCTGTGTTGGTTATTAAGCTATTGCTCCCAGTTCCAGGCCAGCCATCATACCCTGCTTTGTGAAGCAAGCCACGTGTCTACTTGGCCCTCTGTCAGCTGCTCTTTTTTGGGCTTAGTCAATGGAGGCACTAGAGGGAGACTGGAAGCCCAAAGAAGTAGCAGTTGGTGTGTTTCCAGTCTTTTCCTGCATTCCTGGAATGTCTCAGAGGTACCAGTAGCAACTGGTGGGTTCCCCTTGATCAGAGATCTGTGTTCCAGTTCTGTGGGGTCCCTCTTCCAAGTGCCTGAGGCATCACCACCAGCCAAGCATTACTCCTTCTCGAGGATGACCACCATCCAGGTTTTCCTGGAAGCCTCCTGGTTTGAACACTGAAGGCCCGTGTCCCAGGGCCAGAATGGTTGACCACACTGCTGCTCCCATAGGTCTGGGCCCCAGCTATGTGATGCTCTTCCTTCTGGGTCCTGCTTCATTCCTCTTCTTCTCCCCTAGCCCAAGGAGCGGCAGATGCTTCCTGAAGTTGCCTCCGTGTTTCCCCTTGCCTTCTGAGTCATCCATTACCTATTTAACCAATCCCCTGTATTAAATTCTCATTCTTGAAATAACTTGTATAGCAGTTATCTTCTATTTAAGTGGGATTTAAAAGCACCTGCAGTGAATTGAAGATGATGACTTCATGCTAAATATAACAGGCTATCACTTTGTGTCATGAAAAAAGGAAACTGGCAAAAAACAAAGCTGGATTTCTATTTTAAGTCAATGTAGAAGACAGAAATAGCGGACAGTGAGCCATAGCTATCAGCCTCTAGTATTGCAATGTTCTGTGCTGAAAACTAGGATGTCCTTGCTTCTACCTCATCTTCATAAGTCAAAAGGCACAGCATTTCATACACCTACTTCCTAAGGAATATTCATGCTATTTGTCAAGGTAATTCATCAAAAGATACATTTTTTTAAAATTAAGAATGTAACATGTTTAAAGTTTGGTAGCATTTTAATAGTGGTATTGTTGCTTCATCTTCTCTTTCCCTCCCTCCCTCCCTCCTTTCTCTTTCTTTCTCTTCCTTTCTTTCCTGTTTTTCCCGTCTTTTTCTTTTCTTTTCTTCATTTCTTTCTTTCTCTTTCTTTCTTTCTTTCTCTTTCTTTCTTTCTTTCTCTTTCTTTCTTTCTTTCTTTTTCTTTCTCTCTCTCTCTCTCTTTCTTCCTTTCTTTCCTCTTCTCTTTTCTCTCTTTCTCTCCTTCCTTCCTTCCTTCCTTCTCCACTTAAAAAAACAGAAAGGTTTTGAGTGGCCCTATGTCTTAATTTAAGATCTCCAGGAGAAGACGCTGAGACAAAAATTAGAGTGTAAGTAGTTTAACTGAGAGATGAAGGAAATATTAGAAGGGGAGTGGGGAAATGACACCCAGAGAAGAAGGCAATGAACAGAGAGTATGTTAGGACAGCCACAAGTGTGGGCGACTAGAGCGTAACCTCTCCAGGGAATGTCAAGGAGCCAGTGCTGGAGGGCCAAGGGAACTGGAGTATTTTCCCTCTAACTCCTGTGAGGTCTTGGTTAGAACTGGTCCTGGGAGGCATGAATTTCCTAGCACTTCTAATCCTCTACATGGACAGGCAAAGGGCTTCAGAGGCCAGAGAGACCCTGTCTACAGGGACAGGTTGTGGTCAGTCTGGCTCACCTGCAATCAAGTGAAGAAGGTGAGGGGAAATGTTTGAAGCACTGATGTCATCTGCCATATATATTTTTTAATTATGTGAAATTCCATAACATGAAGAATTTTAGGAACACATTTATTGTTATAGGAAAAATCACTGTAATTGGATTTGTCAACCCATAATCAGTTCCTAGGGTTTGGGAACCTGTAATTCTTGTGTTGAGGGGTTCATTTATGGTCGATACTAGACCACTCTGGCACATATTTCAAATTAAGAGCAATATTAGAAAAAAAATCCTGGGTTTCCCACATCTTCTAACATTTCTTACAAAATTATCTTATAACATTTCCAAATACTAAACAATGGAAGTTTATAAACAGGCACAGAGTTCTAAGAAATAATAAACAATAAGCCAATTTACTTTCTTTATTTGAAAGGGAAAATCCAAGAGGGTGAGGGAAGGGGAGAAAATGGAGAAACTCGTGAGGAAGAAGTGATTCACCCCAAATGAAAATAGACTGGGCAGAGTGGAGTGGATAAAAAGGGGGCCACTGAGTCAGAAAGACAGGAAGTGGAAGATAGATGGCCTATGTTTTCAGTCAGTGTTAAATCATAACCGATTGATACAAATGAAAGGAATTCAAAGGCTACCTTCAGTCTTTTGGGAAGGGGCGGTAAGTTTTACATCCTAATTTACAGGCAAGAACAGGTGTCAGTAGGGACGAGGAAGGAGTCCTTGCAATGTGAGACTAAAAATTCACAGTAAAGCTGAAATTTGTGGATTGCCTCCCTCCTCCCACAGTATTTCTCCACCAGGTCTCAGGTAACATGATGTCAGATATATTTTGGTGGATTCTCTAAAATGGCAGTTTTAGTTTGGATAGGTACCCAAAACAGTACCCCGTACTGCCCAACTTCTTCCCTTGGGGTAAGTCCTTCCTAAGTGTATGATTTTCAATAGGACCTAGCTGTGGTCTGGCAATCTGCATTCAGGTGGTATGGGAACACCTTTTTATTCCTGTATCTCTGGTTGGTCTCTGGAAACATAACCTGGAAGAATTTGTTCCCCAGGGAGGGTTGGGCACCATCAAAAGTTGATGACTTTTGTTATGGTCTTAAGTATCCTTTAAATGAGCTAATCTATCTCCCAGGTCACTATAAATAAAAGCATTATAGCTTCTGTTCTCTATGCTAAACCTGGGAGAAACTCTTTGGGGGCATGTTTTGATGGGAACATCCATTGCTGAGCAATCATTGCTGCAATGGACTTTTCATCATGGAGGGAAAATACTTTTCTCTGGTAGTTGTAGCCATCACCTAGACAGGGTGATTGGCCTTGTTTCTTTTTATTTATTGTCTAGAGGCTGCATGTGACAAATTCAAGTCTTTAGGTTCAAACAGATTTTATTTAACTGTATCTCCAGATAAGATTCAAAATAGCTATAGAAAAAAATAGATTGAATGAAAAAGCTGGTAGGATGTTGACAACGACCTAGGATATCTGAAACTGGAAAAAAAAAAAAAAATAGACTGCAAAAGTTTCTTTTCCAGAGACTGGAGACATTTGTTTGGAGTGTGTTAAAAGAAAAATGTAATGACATACACATAAGCTTCGATGAGTAATGATCAGGAGCTGGAATAATTGTGCACAGACTCATTTAAGCCTTACTAATTCAGGGCAGTTCTATTGGTATGGAATTATTTGCATTTGTGTGTTTCCCGAGTTAAAAAAGAATACCCCTGGGTCCTGCTCAGAGCATGGGGAATTAAACACACAGCTCTCATTAACAACACTACGGATTGTACAGTCTGCTGAATTCCCTAAACACTTTACAGAGAGCAAGTGTGTTCTCTGCCAGTGTGCAGCATACAGGAGCGACTTCCTGAGTGGAAAGCTTAGGGGAGTGATATCGCGCCGAGAAGCAAGTGGCCATGTATGAGGTCTGTCACCCTAAAGGTAGCTCTGAAGCCGGATGTTTTCTTGATACAGGACAAAAGGCGATGGTTTGAGCAGGTGAGAGATGACTGGTTCTGTGATCAAGCATGGCATTTTGAGTTTTCTTTTTTATCTTTCATTCCTGATCTAGAGCCTCAGAACTCTTGGGCTCACATAGTGTGAACATGTGGCAGCTGTAGTGTGGCCCCGAAAGAAGCCCCTTTGTGGCAGAGGCAACCACACCATGAAAAGTATTGTCTTTGATGTCAGACAGATTTTGGTCTCTCACTTACCAGCTGATTGACCTTGGAGGTGTTGTTTAGCCTTTAAGCTTGGGTTTCTACCACTGTGAAATGGGTATAAAAAGAGGACTTACCTCCTGGGTTGTGATAAAAATCTATAAGAAATACCTAGTTCATGATAAGCACTCAAGAAATTTTGGCTTAAAAAAAGCACTTAGACTCCAGGGATCAATCCATTTTAGAAGCAATTTCATCAGAACTTGCAGTTGCTATAAATCAATGGGCGATTGCCTAGATTTGGGGTCGAAGACAATTTAATTCCAGCGTCTCCCCTGTTTGCTTTGTGTAGCTCTGAATTCAGGCCATAAAAGGTACATTGACATAAGCCGCCAGCTGTTGCCACCTCCATCTGAATGCCAATGTCCCTCATCTATTGACACAAGAAGAAAGTAAATAAGGTAATGTCCTCGGAATTTTCTTTACACTAAACATGTAATTAGCTACTTACCCATGATGAGTAAAATTTAATTTCAGCTAAGTGAAAAGGAATGCTGATTAGATTTATTTTATTATCTGTTTACTTTCTGGGAAGAGGGCAGCTGGATAAAATCTCCTCTTGAGCAGTATTTTTTACTTCCTGCAGTGCTTACCAGTGAAATATGCTAAACTTGCAGGAACGGCACATATGAATGCAAGCAATCATTTTGTTGGCATTTTCCTTCTTTTTATTTGTTGGAGTGAAGGTAAGCATGGCCGCAGCTTCTGTCCGCTGGAGTGCAAGAAGGGGCAGGAGGGGACCCTGGAAGATAGGCTGAGAAAAGGTGTGCAGGATCATCCCAGCAAAGCTGCCGCGTGGTCGCTGTTTGCAGGAACTCTCCCCTCTGCGCTCTCTGATGTGTGTCTCACTGCTCAGAGAATTTCTCCTCTGGCAGCTCACAGCCCCAGCTGTGGGCCACTTTCGCAGGCTGTCTCTACCCCAGGACTCCTGGATGCTCCAAAGGCATTCCTCCCCAGCCCTCATTTCATCAAGATCCCTTTCCAAAGAGCCCTGTTGTCAGCCAATCACTGTAAGGAAAGACATAGAATAAATTCCTGCGAAGCTTTCAGTCCATGATGGCAGCTTTGTGCATTTCCCACGAATGCAGTATTTTTGTAACGTGGATACTTTGAGGTGTCAGTGTTTTAGTCTTATGAAATGAATCATAATTGGTGAGATTTCAGGAGGGACCTTCTAACTGCCCTTCAGATCAGACCACAAACTCAACCCTAACCTTTCCTTTGCATGGGAGTGGCACCTAGGGGTTCTGGTGCTGAGAGTGAGCTTGGACCAATTCTATGAAGCTCTGGGCTAAAGGTAAGTGGGAGGCAGGTGGGACAGAAGGAAGATAGTCCAGCTAATCTATTTGTGCAAGGAAGCTTTGAGGTAATAAGTTCCAAGTCTTTGGAAGCATTTAAGCAAAGCCTAGAAAGCTTCCTGAGAGGCATTGTAGAGAGGATTCATCCGTTAAGTACAGCAGTCAGCATTGATCCAGGGTGCCAGAATCCACTCTATGTAGTCTAGACTAAGGAGATTTGGGGATTGGTGACACTGGGCAAGGAGGCCATCTGGAGATAAGAATGAACAAGATGTATCTACATACGTAGGGCTGGAGGAACAAAGGGGAAGGTGGTCTTCGAGGGTAGCCAGAAGGTGGTCTTCTGGCTAGTGCTAAAACCCCACGGGGGATACCCAGAGGGACCAATGGCCATGGAGAGGGGCCTTGTCTGGGCCTGGAGCCTCAGAGGAGATGCAGCCTTTGGCGGGGACCTCCTACTGACATTGAAACAGGAGGACCAATGTCCTGGCCTTTCCTTTCCCCTGCCTTTTAGGGTCCAGCCGGTGCTTCCCATGGGCTCTACCAGCCATGAGGCCGTTGGCAAGGCAATCTGGGAAAGAGGTGAAGGCTGGAGGGTGGGCCTCAGAGCAGCCTCCCAGCTGATCTGCACCATGGGCATTTGGACAAGATGAACTCTCAGTTTCCTATCAAATCTGACAAACAAAAACAAAGCCCCTACAATTCTATAGCATCAGTTCCTTCCTAGAAAAAGAGACCACCAAACATCTAGAAAGCAAGCTTACGTATTCCACCCCATTTTCTCAGCGACAGTTGTACATCGCTCACCACCTGGAGCCACTTGATAGACTATTTTCCTTATGTTTTGTTTCAGAGGCTATGATATAAAGGTGGGAATTGTGGATGACTTTTCTCCATTCTCCTTGTCTTCCTCATTTTCTGGTCATAGAATGAGAATGGAAAGATTTTGATAATTGTATTTTTATTCTTAATGAAAATATCATTTTACTAATGTTTAGAGGGCTTGGGAATGGCATTCAAAGTAGTACACTGACAATGCATTGCCCAGCACCGCCAGTAACAGTTGTCCCTGGCGCCTAAGCATGAGGCCTTTCTTGGATCACTTTGGGGTGATACTTGGGGTCTCTGCAGGGTGTCTCTGGAGGGTCATTCTGACCCTGTTAAGATGCTCTGGCCCCTCTTCCTCCTCTCACCATCTCGGCTGTTTGCTGTACCATGGGTGTCCAGGTGCTCTTCTGTTTGTTAATGCAGCCAGCCCGGGTTGGCTTGGCTACTGCCTGGCATGACTTTCTTTAGCCCTGACAATCAGCTGGAGATTAAAGCAGCTCTTCCTTTTAACATGGTGGCAGTGGGCACATTTTCAGAACTGGAGTATGCTTTGCAGAGCTGCCATGAAGCTGCCCACTGCTTTGACTTTGAAAAGAAGTGTGTTTTAACCTTGAAAGTCATTAAGGATGGGAAGTGGGTGCTGGGAAGGCTGTGAGATGTGCAGATTCCTTGGCCCTGTGCGGCTTTGTTGGGTTGTCTCCTGGCCACTCCATTTGTCCCACTTGCGTTGAGACCACAGAAATCAGTCAAGAGGTGGAGGTGGAGGCAATTGGAGGTAACTGAGTTTAACTTTGTGGTCAACACAAAGGTGATCCTGTTCTACTGTTATAATCATAGGATATTTAACTTGAATGGGTATCAGGTGTGATATTTGTGTTTCTTTTTAACAGATAGGCTTACAGCTGAATTAAAATGATCTCAAACATCTGGGACAGTGCTGCCAAATACATGGAAGAGGCCCAGAAAACAAACAATGGGTTTTGTCACCTCCCCTAATGATATCACATTTATTATTTTATAACGTGCTGTCACTTCCTGGTGTGGTTAGGGTTGGATTTAAATGTGTCAACCTGTATTTAAATGTCAGGCAATGAAGTGGCAGATGCATCCCTGTGCTCCCTGCCCCATCCCCACCTCACCTTGATCGCCTTTCCAAAAGCAGAACATAAAGAGTTTGTTTGGACAAGTAGTATAATTATTAATATTTCAACAACACTATATACTTTCCTAGGGCTGAACAGTAAACAGAATTGTGCTAAAAGAAAGAAAGGAACAAAATCTCTTCACCCTAGGAGCAGAAACCTTCCTTTTGTATGCAGGTGCCTCATGTTTTGATGTGCACATTTTTACTGAAGCCCATCCCATTGCTATTACTTTAAACAAGAGCTGCTTCTTTGGCCTACCTCTTGGAAGGTGACCAGACACTCCCTAGGTCAACAAGAGAAGCAAAGCTTGAAGTTATGGTTCAGAGTTTGTGTCTTAGAAATACCAGTTCCTTTTAGTTCATGCATTGACTAAATAATATCGATACATTATGGAAGATAATGTGGTGATTCCTCAAAGACCTAAAAATGGAAA